>NT_167245.2:0-132470 GCF_000001405.40 Homo sapiens | reverse complement strand
GGCCAAGGCCGGAGCCGGCTCCCTCAGCTTGCAGGGATGTGTGGAGGGAGAAGCGCAGGCGGGAACCGAGGCTGCGCGCGGCGCTTGCGGGCCCAGCGCGAGTTCCGGGTGGGCGTGGGCTCGGCGGGCTCCGCACTCGGAGCGGCCCCCTAATCCGCAAGCCCCGAGCAGTAAGAGGCTTAGCACCTGTGCCAGCAGCTGCTGTTCTCGACTTCTCGCCGGGCCTTAGCTGTCTCCCCGCGGGGTAAGGCTCGGGACCTACAGCCCGCCATGCCTGAGACGCCCCTCCCCGCCATGGGCTCCTGCGCGGCCCGAGCCTCCCCGACGAGCGCCGCCCCCTGCTCCACGGCGCCCAATCCCATCGGCCACCCAACGGCTGAGAAGTGCGGGCGCAAAGCACGGGACTGGCAGGCAGCTCCACCTGCGGCACCGGTGGAAAATCCACTGGGTGAAGCCAGCTGGGCTCCTGAGTCTGGTAGGGACTTGGAGAACGTTTACGTCTACCTAAGGGATTATAAATACACCAATCGGCACTCTGTATCTAGCTCAAGGTTTGTAAACACACCAATCGGCACCCTGTGTCTAGCTCAGGGTTTGTGAATGCACCAATGGACACTCTGTATTTAGCTACTCTGGTGGGGACTTGGAGAACCTTTATGTCTAGCGAAGGGATTGTAAATACACCAATCGGCACTCTGTATCTAGCTCAAGGTTTGTAAACACACCAATCAGCACCCTGTGTCTAGCTCAGGGTTTGTGAATTCACTAATGGACACTCTGTATCTAGCTACTCTGGTGGGGACTTGGAGAACTTTTGTGTCTAGCTCAGGGATTGTAAACGCGCCAATGAGCACTCTGTGAAGATGGACCAATCAGCTCTCTGTAAAACAGACCAGTCAGTTCTCTGTAAAATGGACCAATCAGCAGGATGTGGGTGGGGCCAGACAAGATAATAAAAGCAGGCTGCCGGAACCAACTGCGACAACGTGTTCGGGCTTTTTCCCACGGTGCGGAAGTGATTTTTCGCTCTCTGCGATGGATCTTGATTGTTCTTTGGGTTTACACTACGTTTATGAGCTGTAATTTGTTGATGGTCTGCAGCTTATCTTTTGAAGTTAGGAAAAACATGAATTCTCGGGCAAGAACAAACAACTCCGGAGGCGCCGCCTTAGAAGATGTAACACTGACTGCCAAGGTTTGCAGTTTCACTCCTGAGCCAGTAGAAGACCAAACCACCAGAAGGAAGAAACTCTATAACACATCCGAACGTCAGAGGGAATGAACTCTGGCTACACCGCATCTAACGATTGTAACACTCATCCGGAGGACTTGTGGCTTTCTTGAAATCAGTGAGATCAAGAACCCGCCAATTCCGGACACAATGTTTTACGAATTGTGTGTTAGTAGGAGTTGCTCCTTACAACTGCTATTTCACAAACATTTATTCCTTGATATAACCTGCCACCACTAGAATTGCAGTCACTGATTCACCAAAAATAAATCAATCATGTCGTTTTTGCTGATCTTAACTTGAGGTGCAGCTCATATTTTTTTCAATATTTAGTGTTAGAAGTGTTTGGAGTCCTTATTTAGAAATTTGGTGTTTTTGTGATCAGACATTTGCCAAGAAAATTAACTCTTAAATCAATTAGTCTAGTCTATGGTAGAATTAGTTTTATTTTGCTTAAAGTAATAGTTTCCAAAAACCAACTGACAATAAGTGAGGACTTCCTATATTTTTATGCTTAGGTTTGATGAAGTGGATAGTCCCATAGCAGTATAATTGGATAAAAGGGGGTATGATCTAATGGTTATAAACTGGGGTGAACTTAGCAAAGCCTGTTTATTCAGGTTCTCTTTGGCATCTCTGTGTCTTCGTTTATTTCCTCCAAGTACATTTTCTCCCCTCTGAATTGACGGTCTTATCACCTACTTTAATTGGAAGATCAGGTAGCTTTCATGGCCCGCTTCACGGAACAAGGGCCCAGAGAAAAACGTTTCTGCTTCTGCTGTTTTCTCAAATGCCGAGGTGTCGTATTTTGGGAGTAGTGTGACCTGAACCCAGTCAAAAGACGTCCGAGTCTTTCTAATCTCTGGGTCATAGGGTCGCCTTTGGCCTATGCATTGTACGTATACAGTATGGCATTTCGCATGTCTGTCCACTTCTAGGCGCACAGTCCAACTGGCTTTGACTGGTCAGGAAGGCCAGGCCTGGATCTGGGGTTGGTACTATAGGTTAGATGTTTTCAGGTTTTGAAGGAGAAACAGGTCCCTTAAGGATGAGAGCGAATCAGAAGAAGACAGACAAAAAAGGATTTAGGATTTGTTCCAGAAGCTCATTTCTGGATTGACTGTCGTACCAAGGTTTGGCGAACGGCGGCAAGCGCTTGCCAGTTTGTCGAAGAGTGGAGAGGTCAGTTGTGCCAAGGAGTGGAGAGGTCTAAGAACTCTCCAGGAGCACGGAGGGTTTATGCAGTCATAAATCGCCTTGCTTCTGCATACTTTTTATTCCGTGGAGGATTCCGCCCGGGCGATGGCGCCATAAATGCAGGTGCGTCCTGGCTCTTTTCTCTTCCCAGTGCGCATCTCGGCGACTCTCACCACCCGAGTCTCAGAGCCCGCGAAACGTAGCGTGCCAGGTTCTCCATCCCGAGGCTGGGCGCGGGAACCTGCAGGGGCAGTAACTACGACCGGGACAAGCCGATCTGCAATTCCCCTCCTGTTTTCTCTGCCCCTTGGACTTAAATTCCCACGGCGGCGTTTAGGGCTTTCGTTTTATCTTTCTGCGTTATGCTCGCGGTTTCCTGGCAACCTTTCCAAGCAGAATCACCCCATCACAGACCTTTCTCTGGGGGGCGGCCAGGCAGGACGGCTCCCTTATAAACCCCGATAGGTGGTTGTCGAGCGGCCGTCCGAGAGGGTGACCTGCAGCGGGAGATCCCAGGCCCAGCACGGGACTTTCGATATAACATTCAGTTTTCCTTCTCTCAGCGCAGTCAGGAAACAATATCCAGTATAGCGAATTCAAAATTAAGTTCGACAAAATATGCTTCTTGGCACGACCGATAATAGTAACAGGTCATAGAAATATTTTGGCCCACGTTGAGCGTTGGGGGGTGTAGCTCAGTGGTAGAGCGCGTGCTTAGCATGCACGAGGCCCCGGGTTCAATCCCCGGCACCTCCAGCTTCATTTTTCTCCCGCCTTTTCTCCTAGATGTGCCTTGTTTGCAAAATCATGTCTATCATGTCCACGACTCGCCTCAATTTTTTTTCTTTTGTTTTTGTGGCACTTTCATTCTCTCTCAATTCTTCAAATTCACATGGAAACCAAGGAAAACAAGCTCCGTTTTGCTTTCAATATTGATGCATTTCTGCTCTAAGGCTTTGACACCACCCTGGGTGGCTGTGTCAAGAGATGAAAGACAAAATGAAAGAGGCCGCGGAAGCACAGACTGGCAGAATTCCAAAACCCGAAAAACAAGCAAGGCACCAAATTAACAAGCCCAATCACATTGGTTACATTTCCCAGTATTATCGAAGATCAAGCAAGAAAGAAAAAGACAGAAAACAAATGCGAAACCACAGGTAATTTTTTACAATTTATTTTAGATCCTTTCTTTTTTGAGCTGTTCCTTGGTCAAGGGACAGACCCAGAAAATAGGAAAACTGTCCCACGGATTTCCCCACCACTCTCTTCCCATCGCAATCTCTTTTCTTTTCCCCCATCAGGTGTCCTCTTGTTCGTCCGATTTTAGACTTTGTAAGCTTTTTGTAGGCTTTTTTTTTTTTTTTTTTTGGAGACAAGAGTCTCACTCTGTCTCCCAGGCTGGAGTGCAGAGTGCAATGGCACCATCTCGGTTCACGTGCAAGCTGTGCCTCCCAGATGCAAGTGATTCTCCTGCCTTAGCCTCCCGAGTAGCTGGAATTACAGGCATGATGCACCACCATGCCCGGCTAATTTTTTTTTTTTTAGTGGAAACGGGGGTTTCACCATGTTGGCCAGGCTGGTCTCGAACTCCTGAACTCAAGTGATCCACGATCCACCCGCCTCTGCCTCCTAAAGTGCCGGGATTCCAGGCGTGAGCCACCACGCCTGGCCTACTTTGTATGCATTTCTTTGACTCATTGTTATTGTTTCTGACTTTATTAGGGTAACTTTTATTAAAGCATAATGTAAGCTTTGGATCCAAATAGAAGTTCTTTATTGTGTTAAATAAATTGAAGCCTTCGTATCTGGCTGACTTGAAGCAGCACTTAGCTAGTTTTAAAAGATATGGAAGGCAATCAGAAAACAAAGATACATATCCCCACTCCCTTCTCTTCCCAATTCTAACCGCAGCTCACATTTTGAAGGGCCTCACACATGCATGTGTGAACATCTCAACATATTAGCGGTGGCAGTTATCTGTAAGGAGTCTGCAGCAACATTAATTCTTGCCTCCTCAGGAGAAGGAAAGAATTCGATTGAGGAGCATAATGCCGAAGGAGAGACCGAGGCAAGTCTTAGAGCAGGGGTGAAAAATTATTGAAAATATTTAGAGCACTAATGAAGGAAAGTACACTTGGAAGAGGGCCAAGCAGGCGACTTGAGAGACCAAGTGCACGGCTTGACCTCTAGACCTGGGGTCGTAAACGTTGGCATAGTTCCTAAATCTTGTGTTATTTCTCCCCACTCCTGAGATCTTATTGGGAAGTGACCGACCACCAGTTTCACGTGTTTTCTATCTGTTAAGAAACTGCCTTTCTCTGTCAGAGGAAGAATCAGTTTAAACTTTATAGATTTCTTTTAAAACGTATTTATTACAAGTCCCCAAGAGGGCTTTATTTTTGCTTTCACACATCCTGTTTTTCAGCTTCCTTGGCTCTTTTTGCCCATATGCCGAAGAGCCGAGCATTGCCGCCAAGCATTGGCACCGGCCATGCGGAGACTAGCGAAAGCTTTGCAATTCCTCTACTTCTCAGTGATGACTCGGGCTTTCTCCTTACATTCTTGATGGGCATGACCGGTCCTGTCAGCTGGGTGGCCAATTTCTGTTCTTCAGCAGAACTGTCTCCCTTCTTGGGGGCCGAGGGCTTTCTGGGGAAGAGGATGAGTTTGGAGCAATACTCATTCAGACGCTGCACATTGGCCTGCAGGGAATCGGTGGACTTGTTCTGCCTCCTCGGATCCACAGAGATGCCAGTGGTCCGGGTCACCTTCTTGTGAATGCCCGCCACCCTGAGCTCCAGGCTGAAGCCTCTGCCGGCGCGCACCTTGATGTGATAACGCACAGCAGGGCACAGCACAATGGGCCAGATGGGTCCCGACTCTCCGGGCGCGGGGCGATGCAGCGCCCTTTGGCTTGCCGGGCCTTGATTCTGCGGATCTTCTGGTTGAACCACGTGGCCACACGCTGCTGCCAGTCCTTGTGGAAGTGGGGCTTCAACATCATGCCATTCCTGCTGGGCGCCATGGCTGCCTACGGCCCTCCTACGAAGGAAACACTTTATAGATTTCTATAGCAGTGTTACATAGTAAGGTTTTATGGCGAGTTTTGTAGCATGGATCATACTACCTTAGGACTGATGGTAAAGTTTTAGTCTAAGGAAAGCTCTGAAAATTTGAAAATGTGTAACCACCCAATGAGTTCAGCTTGCCCACTGCCTAGACAGAACCATTTATCAAGACGGGCATGCAAAGCCGGCTGTGTGGGAGACCCGTTTTATTATTATTCAAATCAGTCTCCCCAAGTGGATTGCAGTTTTTAAGGATAATTTGGTGGGTAGGGGACCAGTGAGTTGGGAAAGTTGATTAGTCGGGTCGGAGATGAAATCAGAGGGAGTCGAAGCTGTCCTCTTGTGTTGGCTTAATTTCTGGATGGGGGCCACAAGACCAGATGAGCCAGTTTATCGTTATGGGTGGTGCTAGCTGATCCATAGAGTACAGGGGCTGCAAAATATCTCAAGAACTGATCTTCGGTTTTACAATAGTGATGTTATCCTGAGGAGCAATTGGGGGAGGTTTAGAATCTTGCAGCCTCCAGCTGCATGACTCCTAAACCATAATTTATAATCTTGTGGCTAATTTGTTAGTCCTGCGAAAGCAGTCTAGTCCCCAGGCAGGAAGCGGGTTTGTTTTGGAAAGGGCTGCTATTGTCTTTGTTTCAAAGCTAAACTATAAACTAAGTTCCTCCCAAAGTTAGGTCAGCCTACGACCAGGAATGAACAAGGACAGCTTGGAGGTTAGAAGCAAGATGGAATTGGTTAGGTTAGATCTCTCACTGTCTCAGTTGTAATTTTGCGATGGTGTTTTCAAATGTTGATTTAAAGAAGACCATAAATTTGTGTTGCTTTCTCAGATTTTGAGAATAAGGACAAAAAGTGTATGTTTTAATGGGAGAATCTTAAGAATTTCACTACTGAAGTGGATTTCTCTGTCCATTAACAGTGCTAAATGTTTTGTATTTCCCAGTTGGAAAAACAAAATCTGCAAGCTTTGAATGATACTTGTTATTAGGTTTTGGTAACAGCTGTTGTACTATTCCCATTTCAATGCTCAATAGCCACACGTGGCATGTCATACCTACCAGGTGGACAGCACAGATATAGAACATTTTCATCATTGTAAAAAGCCCTATTTGACAACACTAACTTAAAGTATTAATCTTTTAGAAGAGAAAGCTTCAGTCCAACCCAAATTACACAATTTTACTTTTGAAAATATTGTTGAAACAACGTTCAATTTTTTAAAATTTTGGAAAACTGAATGAAATCCATTTGTAAATGCGCAAATGGTACTGGAGGTGGAAAACTGAAGCCTTGCTATAGTTTTAGTTTTTTGGAGGGTTATGATCAACACAGAGAAGAAAAGATTCATCTACCCATAGAGCTTCTTGAGAAAAATTTTCTAACAATAATTTTGAAAATTTGTAGTGAATTTGTTCTTGCCATTATTTATGGGTGCTTTCATGTGCGAGGCACATCAAAGTTCTGGGGAATGACTTAGGCACAACCAAATGGCTATCTTGGGAAGACCAAAGTCCTTTGCTATATATGAGAGTTTTGAGATGGCGACTACCTTTCTGTATGGTAGATTCTTGTTTTTGAATATGCCCTCTGGGTTTTCAAAACAAATTGTTTTTACAATACCTATAGTAGTTATCTAGGGCATATTCTTTAGCTTCAAAAATTCTATCTTTAGAATGGGCTTCAATATTCATAACTGAGTTATTTTCCTCTAATAAATCATTAACATTTTCCCATGTTTTATTGTGGTGTTCATGGTAGTTTAAAATACCTTATAATAGCATATAATATGTATGAACAACCTGAAAATATATGTATGTGAACAACCTGAAGCCACATGTACTCTCAGTATACAGGTTAATTCTTAAACCTTCAACAAGATGTCATGCTCAAATTGGAACTACATTTGTGCTTCACACAAAGACCTTTCCGTCAATGACTGACTACATGTACGACCATGGTTTTATAAGACTATAATACCATATTTTTACTGTATCTTTCCTGTGTTTAAGTACACAAATACGTATCTGTGTGTTCCATTGCCCTACAGTATTCAATACAGTAACATGCTGTAGTGGTTTGTAGCCCAGCAGCAATGGACTACACCGTATAACCTAGGTGTGGAGTAGGCTATACCATCTAGGTTTGTGTTAAATACTCTCTAAAATGTTTGCACAGTGATGAAATGCCCTAATGACTAATTTTTCAGATCATATCCCTGAGGTTGATCTAGGCATGACTGTATTAGTCCAGTCATCTGAGTAGATGTTGGCAAAAGGATAGTTTCCGTTACAGAAAATTAAGATGGCATATCCAGTAGAAGAGCATACCTTGAATTTGTTTTATTTTTAATTTTTAAAAAAAGTTTTAGAGCAGTTTATAAGCAGTTTTTAAGTTTATAAGATCACATAAGTTCATTTACCATATTCTACCACCATAACTTGACGTAAGCCTGAATGAACATTTTATAAGCTCAGCCTTACTGTATACTAAGTTCAAGTTTACATCAAGTTACGGTGATAGTATATGGTAAGATGTTTTGCCCTGAAAGTCCTTATTTTAAAATATGTATAGTTAAACTGACACATAACAAAGCATGTGAGACAAAAGAAAAGAGGAGACAACCAGATGGATTCTAGTGAGTTTGAGCTGCCATCCTCTGACTTGCACGCAAGGGCAAAGATTCACTAATCCAACAAGTGCTTGCTAAAGATTTAGGGGAAATAACATTGCTTTTTTATTTCATTTTCCCCCAACAGTTCATTCCATTAATAGTGCTAGGAAGTTTTGACATGAGAATAGGAACACTTTTCTCGGGTTTTGAAGGGCCTTGTATAGTCATGCAAAGAAGAGCATCGTACAGTCATACAAAGTCTACAGTATGAGGGTGTAGCACAGATATAAGGTACTGGATTATATCTCTTTTTTTTTTTTTTTTTGAGATGGAGTTTCACTCTTGTTGCCCAGGCTGGAGTGCAATGTCGCGATCTCGGCTCACTGCAACCTCCGCCTCCCAGGTTCAAGCAATACTCCTGCCTCAGCCTCCCAAGTACCTGGGATTACAGGCATGCGCCACCATGCATGGCTAATTTTGTATTTTTAGTAGAGACGGGGTTTCTCCATGTTGGTCAGGCTTGTCTCAAACTCCCGACCTCAGGTGATCCGCCTGCCTCAGCCTACCAAGTGCTGGGATTACAGGCCTGAGCCACCGTGCCCGGCCATCTCTATTTTTTAAAAATATATTTGTGTGTAAATGTCTCAGTTATTTTAAAAACCTTGGTGCTATTTAATACTGTGGTTAACACTTTGGAAGAAAATGGCTAGGTTTGAGCCTGACCTTGTTGGTATAGGCTCACTCACACCTTCAGAATATGGGCATTGATGAAAGAAAAAATTCAGCTGAATTAAATTTAAAGGAGTTTAATTGAGCAATGAACGGTTTGCGAATCGGGCAGCCCCCAGAATCACAACAGATTCACAGAGACTCAGCGCAGTCACATGGTGGAAGAAGATTTATAGACCAAAAAAAAAAAAAAAAAAAAAGGGAGGGCCGAGCGCAGTGGCCCACGCCTATAGTCCCAGCACTTTGGGAGGCCGAGGTGTGTGGCTCACGAGGTCAGGAGTTCAAGACAAGCCTGACCAACATGGTGAAACCCCGTCTCTACTAAAAATACAAAAAAATTAGCCGGCTGTGGTGGCATGCTCCTGTAATCCCAGCTACTCAGGAGGCTGAGCCAGGAGAATTGCTTGAACCCGGGAGGCAGAGGTTTCAGTGAGCTGAGATCGAGCCACTGCACTCCAGCCTGGGCAACAGAGCAAAACAGCAAAACTCCTTCTTAAAAAAAAAAAAAAAAGGAATGACATATGGAAATTGGAAGTGAGGTACAGAATGGCTGGATGGGTTACAGCTCAGTTTTTGCCTTATTTGAACACAATTTGAACACTCAGCAGTGTATGAATGGTTGAATTACAGCCACTGGGATTGGCCAAGACTCAGCTATTGTTATAGGCACATATTCCTAAGTTAGGTTTTCAATCTTGTCTACCCATTAAACTAGGTTGCAATTCCTCCACAAGGACCCAAATATAAAAGTATGGAATCTTTCTCAGGCCATATTTAGTTTGCTTTAACAGCATAATCCACAGATTATGGTGCAGTGGATTCCGCTGATATTCAGGGGTGCTGACTCTAGTTTTCAATTAAGACAAGTGAAGAGAGACAGAACTCTGTTCCAGATAATGGATGTCTAGGTAATTCAGATAATCCCCCTGGTAAAGACAACAATAAAGCCGGGTGATATATAAAAATAATTCTTTCTTAAAGCATTAAAAATATAATAAACTAGTAATCAATTACCTGCTGAGTGTCAGTAAAAGAAACAAACCCAGAGAAGTGAATCTAGCAGTTGGGACCCCTTTTGCCCTGGCAACATTTGTAATCTGGATGTAGAAGCCAAGAGACTTATCTATGTTTCTGATAGCCTCATAGGGTTAGAGGAACAAAAACAGAAACCTAGGGCTGCCCAAAGTGGCGACATTGGTGATCATGCACTCCCCCTGAGGCTGCTTTCTAGGAGTAAAGGGGAACTGTAAGTAAACCTGCTCACCCATAAACTGCAGCTTGGCTTACCATCATCTGGTAGCCCATAAGACCCCAAACCTTGACACTGGTTTAAGGTGGGCTGTATTTCAGCACATCTAGGTTTCTGAAGAAGCAAAAGAAAATCCTCTCTGAAGGAATAAAACTTTAACCTAGACTTCACATTATTTCTAGAAATATTTTTTTCAAATACAAAACCCAGCATACAAACGTGCATACACATGAACAAACAAGTCTCCGTGAAAATCAACAGAAACAACAGACTCAAAAAAAGAAAAGAAAGAAAAGAGAGAGAAAGAAAGAGAGAAAGAAAGAAAAAAGAAAAAGAGAAAAGAAAGGAAAGAAAGAAAAAGAAATGACAGATACCAGAAATAGAATCTACTAAACTTCAGATTTGGAAATTATCAGATAAGGGTGTAACAAAACTGCTTACTATATTCAAAGAAACAAAAGCTAATCTAAAAAATTTAAGGAGCAAATTGAAAAATATAAAAACTGACGAAGTAGATTTAAAAATAAAAACCAAAATTTATTTGTAATTGAAATATATAATAACCAAAATTAAGAACTTGAAGGATAAATTAACAACAAACTTGACACAACTGAAAAGAGTATTAGTAAAGTGGAAAATAATTTAGAAGAAATTATTCAGAACACGCTGGGCGTGGTGGCTCACATCTGTAAACCCAGCACTTTGGGAGGCTGAGGCAGGTGGTTCACGAGGTCAGGAGATCGAGACCATCATGATAACTCGGTGAAACCCCATCTCTACTAAAAATACAAAAAATTAGCCAGGTGTGGTGGCAGGCACCTGTAGTCCCAGCTACTTGGGAGTCTGAGGCAGGAAAATGGCATGAACCCAGAAAGCGGAGCTTGCAGTGAGCCGAGATTGTGCCACTTTACTCCAGCCTGGGCAACAGAGCGATACTCTGTCTCATAAAAAAACAAAAAGTAATTATTCAGAACAAAGTATGGAGATGCAAAATAATGGTATTAATAGAAGAGAGGATAAGGAGATCTAATATATATTTAATTAGAATTTTTAATGGATGAAAGACAATAGAGCAGAGGCAATATTTGAATAAATAATAACTGAGATATATAAGACATGGAGAAATGCCACCTACATTCCCTCTCAAAGAAGGACTCATTTCCCTTAGTTGTTTGGAGTGCTGCCAATGTTCTAGGGTTTATCTCAGGTGCAGAGAGTTGATTCTCCCAAAAGCACACCCTTCCTGGGATGATGCACCTTCAACAATTGATTGCAGTGGAGTAAAAAGATTTGTCGTTTTGGCACCACAGGAGTATAGGCCATATGTAATCCAGTGCTCCCTATGGTGTTGGTTGAGACTTTGGCAGGTCTGCATCTCAGCTTAACTCACTTTTCCAGTTTGACAGCCTCATTCACGGTGCTCAGACCATGGAAGTATTTTGTGTTAGAAAAAGGACAATTGGCTGGGCATGGTGGCTCATGCCTGTAATCCCAGCACTTTGGGAGGCCGAGGTGGGAGGATCACTTGAGGTCAGGAGTTTGAGACCAGCCTGGCCAATATGGCAAAACCCCTTCTCTACTAAAAATACAAAAAATTAGCCAGGCATAGTGACAGCCGCCTGTAATCCCAGCTACTTGAGAGTCTGAGACAGGATAATCACTGGAACCTGGGAGGTGGAGGTTGCAGTGAGCTGAGATTGCGCTGTTGCAATCCAGCCTGGGTGACAGAGCGAGCCTCAATCTCAAAAAAAAAAAAAGGACAATTGTCAAAAGTAAGAAGCTGTAGTAGGGGGTCAGAAATATAAATAAATACTATCAGGGCTCAGGTCTAAGGGGGGAAATATTTTATTCTCTTATTTTTTGTACTTTAAGTTCTAGGGTACATGTGCACAATGTGCAGGTTTGTTACATATGTATACACGTGCCATGTTGGTATCCTGCACCCATTAACTTGTTATTTACATTAGGTATTTCTCCTAATGCTATCCCTCCCCACTAACCCACTCCACGACAGGCCCTGGTGTGTGACATTCCCCTTCCTGTGTCCAAGTGTTCTTATTGTTCAATTCCCCCCATGAGTGAGAACATGAGGTGTTTTGTTTTCTGTCCTTGTTATGGTTTGCTGAGAATGATGGTTTCCAGCTTCATCCATGTCCCTACAAAGGACATGAACTCATCCTTTTTTATGGCTGCATAGTATTCCATGGTGTATATGTGCCACATTTTCCTAATCCAGTCTATCATTGATGGATATTTGGGTTGTTCCAAGTCTTTGCTATTGTGAATAGTGCCGCAATAAACATATGTGTGCATGTGTCTTTATAGTAGCATAATTTATAATCCTTTGGGTATATACCCAGTAATGGGATTGCTGAGTCAAATAGTATTTCTAGTTCTAGATCCTTGAGGAATTATCACACTGTCTTCCACGATGGCTGAACTAGTTTACAGTCCCACCAACAGTGTAAAAGCATTCCTATTTCTCCACATCCTCTCCAGCACCTGTTGTTTCCTGACTTTTTAATGATCACCATTCTAACTGGTGTGAGATGGTATCTCATTGTGGTTTTGATTTGCATTTCTCTGATGGCCAGTGATGATGAGCATTTTTTCATGTGTCTTTTGGCTGCATAAATGTCTTCTTTTGAGAAGTGTCTGTTCATATCCTTTGCCCACTTTTTGATGGGGTTGTTTGATTTTTTCTTGTAAATTTGTTTGAGTTCTTTGTAGATTCTGGATATTAGCCCTTTGTCAGATGGGTAGATTGCAAAAATTTACTCCCATTCTGTAGGTTGCCTGTTCACTCTGATGGTAGTTTCTTTTGCTGTGCAGAAGCTCTTTAGTTTAATTAGATCCCATTTGTTTATTTTGGCTTTTGTTGTCATTGCTTTTGGTGTTTTAGTCATGAAGTCCTTGTCCATACCTATGTCCTGAATGGTATTGCCTAGGTTTTGTTCTAGGGTTTTTATGGTTTTAGGTCTAACATTTAAGTCTTTCATCCATCTTGAATTAATTTTTGTATAAGGTTTAAGGGAGGGATCCAGTTTCAGCTTTCTACATATGGCTAGCCAGTTTTCTCAGCACCATTTATTAAATAGGGAATCCTTTCCCCATTTCTTGTTTTTGTCAGGTTTGTCAAAGATCAAATGGTTGTAGACGTGTGGTATTATTTCTGAGGGCTCTATTCTGTTCCATTGGTCTATATATCTATTTTGGTACCAGTACCATCTGTTTTGGTTACTGTAACCACGTAGTATAGTTTGAAGTCAGGTAGCGTGATGCCTCCAGCTTTGTTCTTTTGGCTTAGGATTGTCTTGGCAATGCAGGCTCTT
The DNA here is from genome assembly GCF_000001405.40 of Homo sapiens. Taxonomy (NCBI): domain Eukaryota; kingdom Metazoa; phylum Chordata; class Mammalia; order Primates; family Hominidae; genus Homo; species Homo sapiens. Next base: position 119,041 of record NT_167245.2, on the reverse strand, counting down.
TTTTGGTTCCATATGAACTTTAAAGTAGTCTTTTCCAATTCTGTGAAGAAAGTCATTGGTAGCTTGAGGGAGATGGCATTGAATCTATAAATTACCTTGGGCAGTAGGGCCATTTTCATGATATTGATTCTTCCTATCCATGAGCATGGAATGTTCTTCCATTTGTTTGTGTCCTCTTTTATTTTGTTGAGCAGTGGTTTGTAGTTCTTCTTGAGGAGGTCCTTCACATCCCTTGTAAGTTGGATTCCTAGGTATTTTATTCTCTTTGTAGCAATTGTGAATGGGAGTTCCCTCATGATTTGGCTCTCTGTCTGTTACTGATGTATAGGAATGCTTGTGATTTTTGCACATTGATTTTGTATCCTGAGACTTTGCTGAAGTTGCTTATCAGCTTAAGGAGATTTTGGACTGAGACGATGGGGTTTTCTAAATATACAATCATGTCATCTGCAAGCAGGGACAATTTGACTTCCTCTTTTCCTAATTGAATACCCTTTATTTGTTTCTCTTGCCTGATTGCCCTGGCCAGAACTTCCAACACTATGTTGAATAGAAGTGGTGAGAGAGGGCATCCCTGTCTTGTGCCAGCTTTAAAAGGGAATGCTTCCAGTTTTTGCCCATTCAATATGATATTGGCTGTGGGTTTGGCATAAACAGCTCTTATTATTTTGAGATACGTCCCATCAATACCTAGTTTATTGAGAGTTTTTAGCATGAAGGGCTGTTGAATTTTGTCGAAGGCCTTTTCTGCATCTATTGAGATAATCACATGGTTTTTGGCTTTGGTTCTGTTTATGTGATGGATTACATTTATTGATTTTCATATGTTGAACAAGCCTTGTATCCCAGGGATGAAGCCAACTTGTTCTTGGTGGATAAGCTTTTTGATGTGCTGCTCGATTTGGTTTGCCTGTATTTTATTGAGGATTTTCGCATCGATGTTCATCAGGGATATTGGTCTAAAATTCTCTTTTTTTGTCATGTCTCTGCCAGGCTTTGGTATCAGGATAATGCTTGCCTCATAAAATGAGTTAGGGATGAGTCCCTCTTTTTCTATTGTTTGGAATAGTTTCAGAAGAAATCGGACTAGCTCCTCTTTGTACCTGTGGTAGAATTCTGCTGTGAATCCGTCTGGTCCTGGACTTTTTTTGGTTGGTAGGCTATTAATTATTGCCTCAATTTCAGAGCCTGTTATTGGTCTATTCAGGGATTCAACTTCTTCCCAGTTTAATCTTAGGAGAGTGTATGTGTCCAGGAATTTATCCATTTCTTCTAGATTTTCTAGTTTATTTGCATAGAGGTGTTTATAGTATTCTCTGATGGTAGTTTGCATTTCTGTGGGATCGGTGGTGATATCCCCTTTATCATTTTTCATTGCATCTGTTTGATTAGTCTCTATTTTCTTCTTTATTAGTCTTGCTGGTGATGTATCAATTTTGTTGATCTTTTCAAAAAAGCCAGCGCCTGGATTCATTGATTTTTTGAATGGTTTTTTGTGTTTCTGTCTCCTTCAGTTCTGCTCTGATCTTAGTTATTTCTTGCCTTCTGCTAGCTTTTGAATGTGTTTGCTCTTGCTTCTCTAGTTCTTTTCATTGTGATGTTAGGATGTCGATTTTAGATCTTTCCTGCTTTCCCTTGTGGGCATTTAGTGCTATAAATTTCCCTCTACACACTGCTTTAAATGCGTCCCAGAGATTCTGGTATGTTGTGTCTTTGTTCTCATTGGTTTCAAAGAACATCTTTATTTCTGCCTTCATTTTGTTATTTACCCAGTAGTCATTCAGGAGTAAGTTGTTCAGTTTCCATGTAGTTGTGCAGTTTTGAATGAGGTTCTTAATCCTGAGTTCTAATTTGATTGCACTGTGGTCTGAGAGACAGTTTGTTGTGATTTCTGTTCTTTTACATTTGCTGAGGAGTGCTTTACTTCCAACTTTGTGGTCAATTTTGGAATAAGTGTGATGTGGTGCTGAGAAGAATGTATATTCTGTTTATTTGGGGTGGAGAGTTCTGTAGATGTCTATTAGGTCTGCTTGGTCCAGAGCTGAGTTCAAGTCCTGAATATCCTTGTTAACCTTCTGTCTCATTGATCTGTCTAATATTGACAGTGGGGTGTTAAAGTCTCCCATTATTATTGTGTGGGAGTCTAAGTCTCTTTGTAGGTCTCTAAGGACTTGCTTTATGAATCTGGGTGCTCCTGTATTGGGTGCATATATATTTAGGATAGTTAGCTCTTCTTGTTGAATTGACCCCTTTACCATTATGTAATGGCCTTCTTTGTCTTTGTTGATCTTTGTTGGTTTAAAGTCTGTTTTATCAGAGACTAGGATTGCAACTGCTGCTTTTTTTTTTGCTTTACATTTGCTTGGTAGATCTTCCTCCATCCCTTTATTTTGAGCCTGTGTGCGTCTCTGCATGTGAGATTGGTCTCCTGAATACAGCACACTTGATGGGTCTTGACTCTTTATCCAATTTGCCAGTCTGTGTCTAATTTAATTGGGGCATTTAGCCCATTTACATTTAAGGTTAATATTGTTATGTGTGAATTTGATCCTGTCATGATGTTAGCTGGTTATTTTGCCCATTAGTTGATGCAGTTTCTTCCTAGCATCGATGGTCTTTACAATTTGGCATGATTTTGCAGTGGCTGGTACCAGTTGTTCCTTTCCATGTTTAGCGCTTCCTTCAGGAGCTCTTGTAAGGCAGGCCTGGTGGTGACAAAATCTCTCAGCATTTGCTTGTCTGCAAAGGATTTTATTTCTCCTTCAATTATGAAGCTTAGTTTGGCTGGATATGAAATTCTAGGTTGAAAATTCTTTTCTTTAAGAATGATAAATATTGGCCCCCACTCTCTTCTGGCTTGTAGAGTTTCTGCCAAGAGATCTGCTGTTAGTCTGATGGGATTCCCTTTGCGGGTAACCCGACCTTTCTCTCTGGCTGCCCTTAACATTTTTTCCTTCATTTCAACCTTGGTGAATCTGACAATTATGTGTCTTGGGATTGTTTTTCTCGAGGAGTATCTTTGTGGTGTTCTCTGTATTTCCTGAATTTGAATGTTGGCCTGCCTTACTAGGTTGGGGAAGTTCTCCTGGATAATATCCTGAAGAGTGTTTTCCAACTTGGTTCCATTCTCCCTGTCAGTGTCAGGTACACCAATCAGACGTAGATTTGGTCTTTTCACATAGTCCCATATTTCTTGGAGGCTTTGTTTGTTTCTTTTTAGCCTTTTTTCTTTTATTTATTTATTTTTTTTTGAGACAGAGTCTCACTGTGTCACCGAGGCTGGAGGGCAGTGGTGCCATCTTGGCTCACTGCAAGCTCCACCTCCCGGGTTCACGCCATTCTCCTGCCTCAGCCTCCCGAGTGGCTGGGACTACAGGCGCCCGCCACCATGCCCAGCTAATGTTTTGTATTTTTAGTAGAGACGGGGTTTCACCGTGTTAGCCAGGATGGTCTCGATCTCCTGACGTTGTGATCCGCCCGCCTCGGCCTCCCAAAATGCTGGGATTACAGGCGTGAGCCACCGCGCCCGGCTTCTTTTTACCCTTTTTTCTCTAAATTCTCTTCTTGCTTCGTTTCATTAATTTGATCTTCAATCACTGATACCCTTTCTTCCACTTGATGGAATCGGCTACTGAAGCTTTTACATGTGTCACGTAGTTCTCGTGCCATGGTTTTCAGCTCCATCAGGTCCTTTGAGGTCTTCTCTACACTGTTTATTCTAGTTAGCCATTTGTCTAATCTTTTTTCAAGGTTTTTAGCTTCCTTATGATGGGTTCAAACCGCCTCCTTTAGCTCGGAGAAGTTTGTTATTACTGACCTTCTGAAGCCTACTTCTGTCAATTCATCAAAGTGATTCTCCATCCAGCTTTGTTCCATTGCTGGTGAGGAGCTGCGATCCTTTGGAGGAGAAGAGGTGTTCTGGTGTTTAGGATTTTCAGCTTTTCTGCTCTGGTTTCTCTCCATCTTTGTGGTTTTATCTGCCTTTGGTCTTTGATGATGGTGACCTACAGATGGGCTTTTGGTGTGGATGTCCTTGTTGTTGATGTTGATGCTATTTCTTTCTGTTTGTTAGTTTTCCTCCTAACAGGTCTCTGAGCTGCAGGTCTGTTGGAGTTTGCTAGAGGTCCACTCCAGACCCTGTTTGCCTGGGTATCACCAGCAGAGGCTGCAGAACAGCAGATATTGCAGAACAGCAAATATTACTGCCTGATCCTTCTTCTGGAAGCTTCGTCTCAGAGGGGCACCTGGCTGTATGAGGTGTTAGTCGGCCCCTACTGGGAGGTGTCTCCCAGTTAGGCTACACAGGGGTCAGGGACCCACTTGAGGAGGCAGTCTGTCCCTTCTTAGGACTCAAACTCCGTGCTGGGAGAACCACTGCTCTCTTCAGAGCTGTCAGACAGGGACGTTTAAGTCTGCAGAAGTTTCTGCTGCCTTTTGTTCAGCTATGCCCTGCCCCCCAGAGGTGGAGTCTACAAAGGCAGGCAGGCCTCCTTGAGCTGTGGTGGACTCCACCCAATAAGAGCTTCTGGGCCACTTTGTTTGCCTACTCAAGCCTCAGCAATGGAGGACCCCCTCCCCCAGCCAGGCTGCCACCTCGCTGTTCGATCTCGGACTGCTGCTCTAGCAGTGAGCAAGGCTCCGTGGGCGTAGGACCCTCTGAGCCAGGCTCTGGGTATAATCTCCTGGTGTGCCATTTGCTAAGACCATTGGAAAAGTGCAGTATTAGGGCAGGAGTGTCCCGATTTTCCAGGTACACTCTGTCACAGTTTCCCTTGGCTGGGAAAGGGAAATCCCCTGAACCTTGCACTTCCCAGGTGAGGCGATGCTCCGCCCTGCTTCAGCTCACCCTCCATGGGCTGTACCCACTGTCCAACCAGTCCCAGTGAGATGAACCAGTTACCTTAGTTGGAAATGCAGAAATCACCTATCTTCTGTGGCAATCACGCTGGGAGCTGCAGACCAGAGCTGTTCCTATTTGGCCATCTTGTTTTCACTCTATTTTATTCTCTTCTAACAGGGGATTTCTTTTTTGTTTTTTGTTTTTTTTTCCGAGATGCAGTCTCACTCTGTCCCTCAGGCTGGAGTGCAGTGGCACAATCTCGGCTCCCAGGTTCAAGTGATTCTTCTGCCTCAGCTTCCTGAGTAGTTGGGACTACAGGTGGGTACCACCATACCTACCTAATTTTTGTATTTTTAGTAGAAATGGGGTTTCACCATGTTGGCCAGGCTGGTCCCAAACTCCTGACCTCGTGATGCACACACCTCGGTCTCCGAAAGTGCTGGGATTTCAGGTGTGAGCCACTGCGCCCCACAGTAATGTTTCCATTTCAATTCTGATTTTAGTGACTTGAATCATCTCTCCCTTATCTTGGTCAATCTAGTTTAGGGTTTGACAATTTTGTTTACCTTTTTAAGAAATAAATATTTTATTTTATTTATTTATTTATTGTTTTTCTATTTCATTAGTTTCCACTCTAATCTTTATTTCTTTCCTTCCTGTTGCGTTAGCTTTAGTTTGCTCGTCTTTTTTCAGTGTCTTACAATGTAAGGGCTATTGATTTAAGATCTTTTGTCTTTCCTAACATAAACATTCCCAGCTATAAATTTACTTCTTAGCACTGTTTTAGCTGTATCCAGTACATTTTGATATGTTGTGCTGTTGTGTACTTTTTTTTTTTTTTGAGACCTAGTCTCACCCTGTCACCCAGGCTGGAGTGCAGTGGCACATTCTCAGCTCACTGCAACCTCACCTTCCCAGGTTCAAACGATTCTCATGCCTCAGCCTCCCCAGTAGCTGGGATTACAGACATGTGCCACCACACCCAGCTAATTTTTTATATTTTCTTGTAGAGACATGGTTTTGTGACTAGGCTGGCCTCCAACTCCTAGCGTCAAGTGATTCGCCCGCCTTGGCCTCTCAAAGTGCTGGGATTACAGGCATGAGCCACCGCGCCTGACTGAACTCATTTTTATTTATCTGAACGTATTTAAATTGTTTTAAATAAAAGTAAAACACATAACATTAAATTTATCATCCTAACCATTTTTAAGTATACAGTTTAGTAGTATTAAGTATATTCACATTGTTATGCAACAGATCTCTGGAACACTTTCATCTTTCAACACTGAAACTCTATGCCCAACAAACGCTAATTCTCCTCTCCCTTCCAGCCAGTCCTTGGCAACCACCTTTCTACCTTCTGTTTCTATAATTGTGTCTACTTTAGATACTTCTTATTAGTGGAATCATACAGTGTCTGTTCTTTTGTGACTGGCTTACTTCACTTGCCATAATGTCCTCAAGATTTATCTATTATTGTAGTATGTGATAGGATTTCCTTTTTTAAGGCTACATAATATTCTGTTGTATGTATATACCACATTTGGTATATCCATTCATCTGTCAATTGACATTTGTTTTGCTTTTACCTCTTGGCTAGTGTGAATAATGCTACAGTTATCTCTTTAGGATCCTACTTTGAATGCTTTTGAATTCTTTTGAAACCCCTGCAGAAGTAGGTTTGCTGGATTATATGGGAATCATAATTTTAATTTTGTGAAGAAACCCTGTGTTGGGAAAACTCTCACCAACCATTTTCCTCTAGTCTTACACCACAATAATCATCAACATAGAAGACTACTGTGGCCAAATGTGTGAAGGTTTTTCCCCACACATCAAGCAGCAGACACCAGCTAGGTGTCCTCCAATTCAGTTCTGACACTGTCTACCTGAAGGTAATGTCAGTTCCTGCAGGTTGGGGGCTCAGTCCACAAGACTTCCCCCTATAGCCTCAGATACCAGTTGCAAGTCTGGGTCTCTGGGACTTCTTGACTGACTGGTTTCAATTTGGGGTTCCTACAACCTCCTCTTTGGGTTAAGTTAATTTGCTGGAGTGGCTCACAGAACTCAGGGAAACATTTACATTCACCAGTTTATTATAAAGGACACAGATGAATAGACTGGCAGGGCAAGGTATGGTGGAAGGGGTATGGAGCTTCCATGCCCTCCCTGGGCATGCCACCCTCCAGCAACCTTCACGGGTTCAGCTATCTGGAGGTCTTTGAACCCAGTCTTCTTGGGTTTGTATGGAAGCATTCCTTCCTCCAGGGTATGAGACTGGACCCTCCCAGGGGAGGGTCTTAAGACCCATAATGAAAAAGATGGGGTAATATTAGAGTTCTGCCTTGGGGCAGGTGAAAGGAAGGCAGGAGGTAGATTCTGTTCCTTGAGGCCTGCCCCTGAGGCCTAACACACACAACATTATAACAAAAGACTGTAACAAGGGAGATGGAAGTTATGAACCAGTAACTGTGGATGAAAACCTATAACTTATATATATACATGTATATATATATGTATATAGACCACGAACTCCACACTGTTTTTCATAATGGCTGCACCATTTTACATTCCCGCCAACAGTGCACACATTTCCAATTTCTGCATATCCTCTCCAACACTTGTTATTTTCTATTCTTTTCATAGGGCCATCCTAACAGATGTGAGATTATATTTCATTATGATTTTGATTTGTATTTCTCTAATGATTAGTAATGTTGAACATTTTTTCATATGCTTATTGGCTATTTGTATATCTTTTTTCAAGAAATGTTTATTAAAGTCTGTTGCCCATTTTAAAATCAGGTTATTTGTTTTTTGTTGTTGTTGAGTTGTACAAGTTCCTTATATACGCTGGATATTAACCCTTTATCAGTTGCAAACATTTTCCTCCTGTTCCATAGGTTGTGTTTTCACTTTTTTGATTGTTTCCTTTGATGTGCGGAAATTTTTAAGTTTGGTGTGGTCCCATTTGTCTATTTTTGCTTTTGTTGTCTGTGTTCTTGGTGGCTTGTCCAAGAAATCACTGTCAAATCCAATGTCCTGAAGCTTTTCCTCCATGTTTTCTTCGAGGAGTTGTATAGTTTTTGGTCTTATGTTTAGGTCTTTAACCCATTTTGAATTTTTTTTGTATATGTATAAAGATAAGGTCCAATTCATTATTTTGCATGTAGATAACCACTTTTTCCAATACTGTTTACTGAAGGCTCTGTCCTTTCTCCATTGTGTAGTCTTGGCATCATTGTCAAAATTATTCATCCATATATGCAAGGATTTATTTCTGGGCTCTCTGTTCCATTAGTCTGTATACCTGTCTTTATGTCAGTAATACAACCATCTTTTTTGTTTGAGACAGAGTCTTGCTCTGTCACCTGTCACCCAGGCTAGGGTGCATTGGCATGATCTCAGCTCACTGCAACCTCTGCCTGCCGGGTTCAAGCAATTCTCCTGCCTCAGCCTCCCAAGTAGCTGGGACTATAGGCACGTGCCACCATGCCCAGCTAATCTTTTGTATTTTTAGTAGAGACGGGGTTTTACCATGCTGGCCAGGCTGGCCTTGAACTCCTGACCTCGTCATCCACCCACCTTGGTCTCCCAAAGTGCTGGGATTACAGGCATGAGCCACTGCGCCTGGCCCCTACAACCATCTTCATTAGCGTTGCTTTCTAGTATGGTTCAAAATCAGGAAGAATGAGTTCTACAGCTTTGTTCTTTTTCAAGATTGTTTTGGCTGTTCAGGTTCCCTGGAGATTCCATATGAGTCTTAGGATGATTTTTTTCTATATTTTCCTATTTCTGCAAAATTGCCATTGAGTTTTTGATAAGAATGCCATTGAATCTGTAGATCACGTTGGATAATATGTACTTATTCACAGTATTAAAGTCTTCCACTCCACAAGCACAGGATGCCTTTCCATTTATTTGTATCTTGTCTGATTTCTTTTAGCAATGTTTTGTAGTTTTTCCCGCACAAGTCTTTTACCTCCTTGGTTCAGTTTATGCCTAAATATTTTATTCTTTTTGGTGCTATAGTAAATGGGATTGTTTTCTTAATTTTCTTTTCAGGTTGGTCATTGCTAGTTTGTAGAAATGCAACTGATTTTTGTGTGTTCATTTTATACCCTGCTACTTTTCTAAAGTTGTTTATTAGTTGTAACAGGTTTTTTTGTGTGTGTGTGGGAAGGTCTTCAGGGTTTCCACATATAAGATCATGTCATCTGTAAACAGATAATTTTAGTTTTCTTTTCCAGTTTGGATGACTTTTGTTTCTTTCTTTCGTTCTTTCCTTCCTTTTCTTTTCTTTCAAGACGGGGTCTGGCTTTGTCCCCATGCTGGAGTACAATGGTGTGATCTCGGCTCATTGCAACCTCCACCTCCCGGGTTCAAGTGAACCCTGCCTCAGCCTCCCAAGTAGCTGGGATTACAGGTGCATGCCATCATGCCCGGCTAGTTTTTGTAGATTTTTATGGTTATGGGGTTTCACCATGTTGCCTAGGCTGGTCTTGAACACCTGGGCTCAAGCAGTGCACCCTCTCGGCCTCCCAAAGTGCTGGGATTACAGGCTGTAGCCAGCGCACTGGGGCTTTTTTTCTTGTCTAATTGCTCTGAGTAGGACTTCTAGTGCTATGTTGAACAGTAGTGGTGAGAGTAAGCATCCTTGCCTTGTTCTAGATCTTAGAGGAAAAGCTAAGGCCACTGAATATATTACCTGTGGGCTTTTCATGTATGGCTTTTATTAAGTTGAGGTAGTTTCATTCTATTCCTAGTTTGCTGAGTACTTTTTTCTTTTTTCTTTTCTTTTTTCTTTTTTTGAGTCGGAGTTTTGCTCCCTTGACCAGGCTGCAGTGCAGTGGCGCCATCTCTGCTCACTGCAAAGTCTGCCTCCCGGGTTCACGCCATTCTCCTGCCTCAGTCTCCCGAGTAGCTGGGACTACAGGCGTCTGCCACCATGCCCGGCTAATTTTTTTCATTTTTTTTAGTAGAGACGGGGTTTCACCGTGTTAGCCACGATGGTCTCGATCTCCTGAACTCGTGATCCGCCCGCCTCGGCCTCCCAAAGTGCTGGGATTACAGGCGTGAGCCATCGCGCCTGGCCGCTGAGTGCTTTTTTCATAAAAGTGTGTTGAATTTTGTTGAATCCTTTCTGTATCTCAATTGAGATGATATTTGATTATTGCCATTCATTTTATTAACATGGAGTATTATATAACCCTGGATATTTCACTCCCAAGAGTGCTAATCCTCTGACATTAGTCTTCGTGGTGATGCAGTTTTTGGTATGCCCCCAGTCACCCTGGGATGACAGTGGTGCTGGCAATGTTCTTTTTCACTCTTTTTCTGACCACACCCTACTGTTGTGTTTCAGTTATTGCTGACCAGTTGTTGTATTGTTTTCAACAATGCCTTGAGGTATAAATTCCTCTATGAACAAATCCAATCAAAATGTAGCTCCTTAAATGGAATAGTTTCTGATGTAAGTATTTGATATTTGTCCTGACTCCAAAAGGGTTCCTCCTACCTGTCTTATTTCCTGATTCTCTCCTGCATACTAGCCAGACTGCAGTTTAAGATCTATCTTTCTTAGATTCACAAATTTCCTCCCAATTACCTTTCATCAAAATCTCCACCATTCTTGAGAATGCCCTTAGCTTTCCACTTCTCTATTCTATGTTACAAATTAAATCAGTTATTTTGGGAAAGGATTGGAAGCTATCTACTTTTTGGCTCATTTATTTCTTCTTCTTCTTTTTTTTTTTTTTTTTTTTGAGATGGAGTCTTGCTCTGTCGCCCAGGCTGGAGTGCAGTGGTACAATCTCAGCTCACTGCAACCTCCACCTCCTGGGTTCAAGCGATTCTCCTTCCTCAGCCTCCATAGTAGCTGGAATTATAGGCACACACCACCAGGCCCAGCTATTTTTTTTGTATTTTTAGTAGAGATGGGTTTTCGCCATGTTGGCCAGGCTGGTCTCAAACTCCTGACCTCAGGTGATCTGCCCGCCTTGGCCTCCCAAAGTGCTGGGATTACAGACATGAGCCACCATGCCCGGCTGGCTCATTTCTTTCTATAGGAAAAATCTCTGAGCTAGGACTCTGGAGCTAGAGGTGGTAACAATTGCATGTTTCTCTTTGTGGAAGAAAAGTTCTAGATGCTGAACACTCAGTGGATGAAGTGCAGTAGTCTGAAATCCTCTTGGCTTGTATTTCCTGTTTTGAAGCCACTGCCTCACAAGCCGCAGTAAGAGCTATTAGCACCTTAGTATTCTCTGTGTGCCATGCTCAAGGTAGAGTATTAACTATGTAGGGGTGGCGGAAAAGCTTCCTCTCTGCCCACTGAAATTTGCTGAAAATGAAGTGACAAAGGCAGATTAATAAAAGAAAAAGACATACAAAATTTATTTAACATACATAAGCATGGGGTAATTGTAGGAGAGTGATTACCCAGTGTCCCAGTGAAGTTCAAATACATATATGCCCTTCTTCATAGGGGAAGGAGAGATTGAAGCTGATCATTTAGTATTCCTTTTTACAGTGACATTATATTGATGTACCATAGTTTTCTCAAATTGACCCTTTTGTCAGACATTTGGATTGTTTCCTTTTTTTTGTTTTTTTTTTTTTGAGATGGAGTCTCGCTCTGTCTCCCAGGCTAGAGTGCAGTGGCATGATCTTGGCCCCAGCCTCCCTAGTAGCTGGGGCTACAGGCACGTGCCGCCACACCCAGCTAATTTTTTGTATTTTAATAGAGACGGGGTTTCATCATGTTAGCCAGGATGGTCTCAATCTCCTGACCTGGTGATCCACCTGCCTCAGCCTCCCAAAGTGCTGGGATTACAGGCATGAGCCACCGCACCCGGCCTGGATTGTTTCCTTCTTTTGCTTTACAAATAGAGTTGTGATGAATAGTCATGCATCTGTTTTCCTTTTTATTTATTTAGTATTTATTATTATTATTATTATTTGAGATGGAGTTTTGCTCTCTCACCCAGGCTGGAGTGCTGTGGTGACATCTTGGCTCACTGCAACCTCTGCCTCCTGGGATTCAAGCAATTCTCCTGCCTCAGCCTCTTGAGGAGCTGCAATTACAAGTGCCCGCCACTACACCTGACTACTTTTTGTATTTTTAGTAGAGGCAGGGTTTCACTGTGTTGACCAGGCTGGTCTCAAACTTTTGGCCTCAAGTGATTTGCCGGCCTTGGCCTTCCAAAGTGTTGAGATTACAGGCGTAAGCCACTGTGCCTGGCCCTTTTTATTTTGATAGTATATATTAGGGATAGCTTTTTAGAAGTGGAATTTGTGGGTTAAAGGGTAAATAATTATACATTTTTTCTAGATACTGCAAATTTTCTGCCCTTGGAATTATACCATTTTCCATTCCCACCAGTACTCTATGAAAAGACTAATTTCTCGGCAACCTTGACAACAAAGTATGCTATCCAATCTAATTTAGTATGTCTTTCACTTATTATGAGTAAAGTCAGGGTATTTGGGGTATCCATCACTTTGAGTATTTATCATTTCTATGTGTTGGTTTCAGGTTATCTCTTATAGCTACTTTGAAATATACAATACATTGTTGCTAACTATAGTCACCCTACTCTACTATCAACATTAGAGGCTGGCTGTGGTGGCAGGCACCTGTAATCCCAGCTGCTCAGGAGACTGAGGCAGGAGAATCACTTGAACCTGGGAGGTGGAGGTTGCAGTGAGCTGGGATGGTGCCACTGCACTCCAGCCTGGGCAAGACAGCCAGACTCCAACTCAAAAAAAAAAAAAAAAAAAAGAACCTATACCTTCTATCTAATTATATGTTTGTACACATTGACCAACCTGCCTTTGTACGCAGCTCCAATGCACACACCCTTCCCTGACCCTGGTATCTATGATTCTACTCTCTACCTCCATGAGATCAACTTTTTAAACTCCCACATATGACTGAAAAGATGTGAAATTTGTCTTTCTGTTTCTCGCTTACTTTATTTAACATAATGACCTCCAGTTCCAATTACAATGGATTATATTAATATCTTTCCTAATAATGAGTGATCTTTACACTCCTGGAATAAACCCTACTTGGACATCCTGTATTACTGTTTTAAATGTGCTATTGTATTCTGTTTGCTATAAATTTTATTTAAGATTTAGGCATTACATTTCATATATTTCATATGTGAAATTGACCTGTAGTTTTCATTTTTAGTGCAAACTGAAATGTTATACTAACTTTATAAAGTGCTAGTGTCTATGCTTCGAATAATTTAAGTAGCATCATGATTTTTTGATATTTGACAGTTTGGTAGGATTTCTTTATGAAAGTATTTGAGCTTGGTGCCCTTTTTATTGAGTATGCCTGTTAAACTATTTTTCTTAACTGGTCTGTTTAGACTTTCTGTCTCTACAAGGGTTAGTTTGAGTATGCTACATTTGTCTAAAAAATCCACTAAGTTTGCCAGTTATTTGCTAGTTGTGTTATGTTATCTCTGATGATTTCAAAAAAGGTCTTCTGTGTTGATGATTATTTCCTCCAGTTCTAATTTTGTGTATTTGCACTAATTTTCTCTTTGTTGGCTAGAGGTTTGTCTATTTTGTTGACTTTCAAATATCCACCTTTTTTGTATCTTTATTAGTTATACTTTGTTTCTAACTCATTCTCTGAATTTGTCCTTACAACCCTTCCTTCCTCATTCTTTTGGTTTATTTTGTTGTTCATTTAGTAGCATCTTGAGCTGTGTTTGATTCATTTGTTATTTTTTGTTATCGATATAGGTATGTGAGGAAATAAATTTCCTTCTGATAAATGCTTTAGCTCTATCTCACAGATTCTATGTCACATTTGCACTTTTGTCCCTTTCAAGAAATTATGTAATTAAAATTTGTATTTCCTTCTTGACTCGAGTTGTATTATAGCATGCTTTAAAATTTTCAGGTGGAAGTGACTTTTATTTTTTATTTTATCAATTTCTAGTTTTATTGCATGATGGTCAGAGAATGATGTTTGTGTTATTTCTATACTTTGGAACTTACTGAGGTTTTCTTCTGTGGTCCGTTTTCATGAATGTTTCACAGGTACTACAAAAGAATGTGGTGCGGAGAGAGAGGTATACCGGACCCGAACTCTCTCGCCACACTCTTCCTCGTTCCTTGATTATTTCCGGTAATGCTCCTGAATCCACATTTTTATGAAAAAAAAAAAACCACTTTATTCTTCTTGTATGCGACCCTCTGCAAACTGTTTTTTTTAAATAAAGTATTCAAGTATGATTGACGTCCCTTTAATCTCAGATGGGCTGATAATAGGATTGGATAATTCTGTTATTCACCACATCCCCTTATCTTGTCTTTCTGCCCATTTAAGCTACTCTCCCAGTGTTGGCTGAGACCCTGTGGGTTCCTTGGGCTGGGAGGCAGAAGCCCGGAGCTCAGAGGATGAGGTTGGTGAGCCAGACCCGGCACACGGAGGGCTTGATGAATCGTTCATGCGCGTGTTGAGTGTATACCGCCCTCGTATCGTTTTCTGCCAATCGGGACCGGACCGGGAGCGGATTCTGCCCGAAAGGGGGCGCGATCTGGCGGGTGCTCCTCTTCCTCGCTCCCCAGTCCGCGCCTCGCTGGGCTCAGCACCCCGGCCCCCGGCGGGACGGAGGCTCGGGTCCAAAGCAGTGGCTGCACCGACACGAACCCGTCTGCGTTTCTCCACCTGTCTTCCCTCGCCACCTGCATCTACTATGGTCTCTAAATGCCTCGCTTTGTACTTTGTGGCTTTCTGGCAGCCCTTTAAAGCAGCGGTGAAAGAAAGGAGAGAGTCAAGACACGGGAGAAAATGTTTCATCCCGGGTTCTTCTAGTGGTGCCCGGTAAGTGACTCCGGACTGACGAGCAGAAAAATCCCAGGGCCATCAATAGAGGGCCTTCGGTGTAGAATGCGGTTTGCTCAGCTGTCAGCAAAGAGGGACGCAAAACCTAAATTTGAGATATCAGAAATAACTAAATAAAATAGACCTTGGCTGATTACAACTAATGGTTCTGAAACCTAGCAAAAGGGTCAGATTCTGATCTTGAATATACTCTCGAGAGAACCGTTTCAGTACGGGGGTGTAGCTCAGTGGTAGAGCGCGTGCTTAGCATGCACGAGGCCCCGGGTTCAATCCCCGGCACCTCCATTCCTTTTGCTTTTAATTTTTTTCCCATTGCTTTACTTTATTTTCCTTGCTTAAACAGAAAGTAACCCTATTTCACAACGGTTTTGCCATTAATATTAGTGCTGTTCCATTTCTACTCCTCAGCCTTGACACGACTCGGGGGACTGCCTAAGCAAAAGGTGGAAAAGATGGAGCTGGAAGACAAAGACGGCTCCGGATTCCAAAACTTCAATGGCGTCGCCAAATTGACGAGCTCATTAACCTTTGGAGTATTGTTATTTAAAAAGTAGGAAATAAAAGATAAATGTGGAAATATTTAATAAAAGAAAAACGTAAGCTCTCAATTTTCTTTATTACTTTTTTTTTTTTGAGACGGAGTCTCTCGCTCTGTCGCCCAGTGGCACGATCTTGGCTCACTGCAAGCTCCGCCTCCCGGGTTTACGCCATTCTTCTGCCTCAGCCTCCCGAGTAGCCGGGACTACAGGCGCCCGTCACCACGCCCGGCTAATTTTTTCTATTTTTTTGGTAGAGACAGGGTTTCACCGTGTTAGCCAGGATGGTCGCGATCTCCTGACCTCGTGATCCTCCCGCCTCGGCCTCCCACAGTGCTGGGATTACAGGAGTAAGCCACCACCGCTCCCAGCCGATTTCCTTTATTTTTTTTCTGGTCCTTGTTTAGCCATGATCCATCGCAGGCTGAGCCCTGACAAACGCAAAGCCTTCCAAACTGGGAAATTGAGAAAGTTATTTTCATCAATGAATGTAGAGGCGTCACACTTCTGCCGAAATAGCTCCACTGGGAAGCATGCTCTGCTGAAGATCTCAAAGTTCACGGACTGATTTCCAGTTTTATTCTGTCTTCACTCCTGCCGGATAATTTGACTTCCCTTAGATGACGTTACAGAAGTAATTTTACCTAAGACAGGTGAGCCCTCTATCGTAAGGATATCTTTCAGACTCTTGGTCCACACAAGAGTTGGTGGCACCGGAGAGCTTGTTAGAAGAGCGAAATCTCAGCTTCACCTCAGACGTACTGAACCAGAAGTAGCAATTTAACAAGATCCACAAGAGATTCTTTTGCACATTTAAGAAGCAATATGACGTGCTTTGACGTGGATGGAGTAAGGGTGTATAGTATAAATACGCGGCTGTGTTTTTTCCCCCAATTTTCTATTCTAACAGAAAACATAATTGCAAAAAATATATATTTCTATTGCTGAATCATTTTTGTGTTCTAATCATTGACTCTGTTCCTTGCCTCTCTGGCAATATTGTACTTAGTAATATTTTTTGAATCACTATTCATGATTGAATATGATGTGAAGTTTTCATTTTCTTTTTTTTTTTTCTTGAGACGGAGTCTCACTCTGTCGTCCAGGTTGGAGTGCAGTGGCGCGATCTCGACTCACTGCAACCTCCGCCTCCCGGGTTCAAGCGATTCTCCTGCCTCAGCATCCCGAGTAACTGGGACAACAAGCGCGCGCCACCGCGCCCGGCTAATTTTTTATATTTTTTTTAGGGACGGGGTTTCACCATATTGGCCAGGCTGGTCTCGAACTCCTGACCTCATGATCCGCCCGCCTCGCAAAGTGCTGGGATTACAGGCATGAGCCACCACTCCCGGCCTTTATTTTCTTTTTCGCAAGTTTTGCAATAAAGGCTGTGCTAACTTCTAATGTAAACTGGGAAGTTTGTATCCTTGCTCTGAAACATTTTAAATAGAATAAGACCTTGTAATCATTCCAGAATACACAGCCCTCTTCTCATCAGCTACCACCAAATCTTCAAGAACTTTTGTATTAACACCACTTTGTATTCTAAGCCCTGTGATAGATTTTAAAGATCCAAAACCCTTTGCTAACCCTAATGAAAGTGTGAGCTGAAGGATATCTCAAGAATTGGGAAATCCTTGGTTTCCGATATAATATCAGGCCACCTCTGTCCCTGTGAAGTGATTAGGAAATTTTCAATGGAGAAAATAAGTTCCAAAAGTCATTCTTTCTCAGATTAAGATGTCTTGGGTTTCAGTTTACTTCTTTAAAGAAAGATTCAGAGTTAGTACTGAGGACCCAGACTTTCTTGATGTGGGAAATAGATAATTTTCTGTTCTGTTGACATTTTTTCTCTCTCTTCTCTCATTTTCAAAGTACAGTTCCACAATGTCTCTTTGCCACTTATACTCACTGTGGCAGAAAAAAATTATTCACAGGCTTCAATCATGGGAATCAATTTGCAAAGGAATATAGTAAAAGCATGAGGAAAATTATCATGAATTATTACCATTGCTTTATGCTAGGGCTCAGGCCCAAATGGAAATATTTTTTTCTGCTCCCCACAATAGACTTCTTTAAGGAAGTCCACCTCTGTAATTTAGGGTAGAAATGGATAGGATGCAAAAACCAAGAGTTTAATATAAGAAAGCTATAGAAAATATAGGATGGAGATTTCAAAAACATCTTGGGACAATGAAAACAAATGACATATGACAGATAGAAGTACTTCTTTGAGAGCAAACAGTGCCTATCTTTGGCCTAGGACAATAGTGAATCATTTTAAGGTACATTGTAGATGAATTTTGGAAATTCAACTATATTTTATTTTGGGGTTGTATACTTCAATGAGATCATATTTTAAAAAAATTTTTCTCCACAGAGAAATTAAGGACCTCTTTCAAAAATCAGCTGGGCATGGTGGCGACCACCTGTAATCACTGCTACTTGGGAGGCTGAGGCAGGAGAATTGCTTGAACCTCGGAGGCGGAGGTTGCAGTGAGCCAAGATCATGCCACTGCACTCCAGCCTGGGTGACACAATGAGACTCCATCTCAAAAAAAAAAAAAAAAAATTAAGGACTTCTGAGAGGAATGAGGACGTGGCCATGCGTGAGACCCTGGGTGAATGTGTGGGAAGCGGCAGGTGGGCAGGACCATTGGCTGCACAGTGATATGGAAGCAGACACAATCCATCAGGCCATGTAGTCAATCTGACTCAAAAGGTAGAGTTTTATTCTTTTCAAAGACATATTTAATTGAAGAAAAAAGATTATTTAACCCTTTACTGTCTAGTTCAGGAATTCTTTTTTAATATTCAATCAAGGTGGGAGACTTACAACAGTGTAATCAAACCTCCCTCTCCCTGTCAACAAATCAAGATGTAAATCCCAAAGAATATAGAGTGAATTCAATTTCTAGATTATCATATAAGAGCTCCTTACATGAAAACTATTACTCCACCTTTTTGTCAACTTTAAGAAAACAGTACTCAACCAGTTACAATCTTCTCTCTGGTTGTAGATTGTCTAGAGATGTCATTCGCATGTCTGCAGGCTCCCTGAGCAGAGTAATTGAGTATGAATGAGTTCTATCTCCTGAGATAAATGGTTGGTTCATCAGAAAAATCTCATATATTTGGAACTCATCCTATGTCTCCCCATGCATAGATATTTCTGAATGCTTACAGAAACTTAAACAATTCTCACAGTGTTCTCTGTACTTTGGGGCAAACAGAAAAAAAAAAAAAAAGAAACACCTCCTTGTGGGGAACTTCTGGTAATCTAACTGGTATCTTGGTTTCTTCAGGTGCAAGTTAGAGAATAATTACATGATGACTCTGGAAACAACTTTCACACCATCAAACAGTCTAGATAATTTTCTTTCTTTCTTTCTTTCTTTCTTTTTTTTTTTTTTTTTGAGACAGAGTCTTGCTCTGTCGCCCAGGCTGGAGTGCAGTAGCGCGATCTCGGCTCACTGCAAGCACCGCCTCCTGGGTTCACGCCATTCTCCTGCCTCAGCCTCCCGAGTAGCTGGGACTACAGGCGCCCTCCACTACACCTGGCTAATTTTTTGTTTTTTGTTTTTTTTTTTAAGTAGAGACGGGGTTTCACCGTGTTAGCCAGGATGGTCTCGGTCTCCTGACCTCGTGATCCGCCCGCCTCGGCCTCCCAAAGTGTTGGGATTACAGCCATGAGCCACCGCGCCCGGCCAAAACAGCCTAGATAATTTTTCTCACATCCTCCCAGCACTTTCACGCGCGCGCGCGCGCACAAACACACACACACCAGAGCTTGTAGAGTTTTGTGGGTGACACTTAAATACCCAATTTCAGTGAAACCTGCCATTATGTTTCCTCTTACCTATTCCGCTATCCCTATGAGCCAACAGAGAGAAATTCTGCCAAACCATAAGGTGTTCCCAACCTCGAAAGGGGCTCAGCAATATGCTTACCAATATAGGTAAAGTCATACATAAGGAGAATGAGAATGAAGATGAATGAGAAAAGATAACACCTACTGGGAAACTAGCCAGGAAATGAGACTTTCTGGGTCTTTTGTGAAAGTTTCAAGGCCATGGTGACAACCAGTGTGAATTCCAGGGTTGAAGATCAGCTAGGAAGAAGTTCATTTTTTTGCTTTTCACAACTATCAGTAAGTAAGTTTCTGATCTTCATATCTCAAAGGACACTTTGAGTTCTCATTGTACTCACACTGTATTGGTGCCTTCTACTCACTCCCACCTCCACGTATTCAGATCAGAGCACTGGGCTAAGTTCACTGTGTTTCACCAATGGGCAGGATCCTACGGAAGAATATGGTAAGTTCAACACGTTCCCAAACAAACTCACCTCCTCCTCCTAATATCTTGTCCATTCCTTCAAAGAACAATAAGCATCTCTATTCTGCTTTTTTTCCTCCTGTTTGTTGAGGCTCTCTTTTATGGATTCCCCACTTTCTGGCTTGCTCTATAAATCCAATAAGTCTTTGAATCCTGTGTCTAGCTACCTATGAATGTGCTTTCAAAATTTCAAAGTTTTTCTCCATCCTTGAATCTGCTATTTATTTCATGTCTTGAACATTATTCTGGGCTACTCCATGAACCTCCTCAGTTGCCTTCATGCTGTAGTACAATCAAGAACCCCTTGGCAATGAATAACAGGTTGCATGTGGTTTTCATTCTCACCTGGGGTTTTCTCATCAAAGTTTTGCTCTTACCATTCCTGTGAAGCAAACAGCAATAGCAGAAGTGCTTTATTCAGGAAAAAGCTGGTCAGTTTTCTAACGCAAGTTTCCAGTATTCTGCGTTCCATTTCAAGCTTTATTTGCCAAAACTTCAATATCCCCCACAGCTGGGGGTCTTCCAACTTAAAATGGTCACAAATCCTGCTTCTAAACCCAACACTTAGTGCTAAAACAATGAACACAGGAATGGAGACCCACAGAATATAACGAGATATTCCTTTATTTTTCATTTTATTTAATTTTTTACATCTTTAGATTGGAGAAATACCTTTTTAGGGTTTTTGGGTTTTTGTTTGTTTGTTTTTTGAGACAGAGTCTCACTCTGTCCCCAAGGCTGGAGTGCAGTGGCGCCATCTCCGCTCACTGCAGCCTCCACCTCCCAGGTTCAAGAGATTCTCCTGCCTCAACCTCTGAGCAGCTGGGGTTACAGGCACGTGCCATCACGCCCGGCTAATTTTTGTATTTTTAGTAGAGACAGGGTTTCACCTTGTTGGCTCGGCTGGCCTCGAACTTCTGACCTTAAATGATCTGACCGCCTCCAACTTCCAAACTGCTGCGATTACAAGCGTGAGCTACCGTGCCCGGCCACCTTTTTAATTTTTAAGTTATTTTTTATTTCCATATTTTTATTGTTTTCATATACTGCAATAGTACTTGGAGGACGACACAAATATCTCTTGGCATGAGGAGATGTAGTTCAGTGATAGAACGTGTGCCTTACATATAGGAGGCCTCAGGTTCAGCTCCCGAGAACCTTCAACGGTCAGTTTCCGAGTTCTTAATACCACTCCTTAGTACAAAGCACATTCAGGTGTCCTACTCTCTTTTCGTTGCCTGTCACATGAGAAGTAAACACGTGACCCCAAGACGTTAATTTCTGTTTTTTTTTTTTTTTTTTTAGAGATGGAGTCTCACTCAGTCGCCCAGGCTGGAGTGCAGTGGCGTGATCTCGGCTCACTGCAAGCTCCGCCTCCTGGGTTCACACCATTCTCCAGCCTCAGCCTCCTGAGTAGCTGGGACTACAGGCGCCTGCCACTATGCCTGGCTAATTTTTTTTTTTTTTTTTGTATTTTTAGTAGAGACCGGGTTTCACCGTGTTAGCCAGGATGGTCTCGATCTCCTGACCTCGTGATCCGCCTGTCTTGACCTCCCAAAGTGCTGGGATTACAGGCTTGAGCCACCGCGCCCGGCCTCTTTTTTTTTTAAGATTTTTTTTTTTAATCATTATACTTTAAGTTCTAGGGTACCTGTGCACAACGTGCAGGTTTGTTACATATGTATACATGTGCCATGTTGGTGTGCTGCACCCATTAACTCCTCATTTACATTAGGTATTTCTCCTAATGCTATCCCTCCCCTATCACCCCACCCCGCGACAGGCCCCGGTGTGTGATGTTCCCCACCCTGTGTCCAAATGTTCTCATTGTTCAATTCCCACCTATGAGTGAGAACGTGCAGTGTTTGGTTTTCTGTCCTTGTGATAGTTTGTTCAGAATGATGGTTCCCAGCTTCATCCATGTCCCTACAAAGGACATGAACTCATCCTTTTTTATGGCTGCATAGTATTCCATGGTGTATATGTGCCACGTTTGTTAAATTCAGTCTATCATTGATGGACATGTGCCTTACATATAGAAGGCACATTTGGGTTGGTTCCAAGTCTTTGCTATTGTGAATAGTGCCACAATAAACATACGTGTGCATGTGTCTTTATAGCAGCATGATTTATAATCCTTTGGGTATATACCCAGTAATGGGATGGCTGGGTCAAATGGTATTTCTAGTTCTAGATCCTTGAGGAATCGCCACACTGTCTTCCACAATGGTTGAACTAGTTTACAGTCCCACCAACAGTGTAAAAGTGTTCCTATTTCTCCACATCCTCTCCAGCACCTGTTGTTTCCTGACTTTTTAATGATTGCCATCCTAACTGGTGTGAGATGGAATCTCATTGTGGTTTTGATTTGCATTTCTCTGATGGCCAGTGATGATGAGCATTTTTTCATGTGTCCATTGGCTGCATAAATGTCTTCTTTTGAGAAGTGTCTGTTCATATCCTTTGCCCACTTTTTGTTGGGGTTTGATGGGGTTGTTTGATTTTTTCTTGTAAATTTGTTTAAGTTCTTTGTAGATTCTAGATATTAGCCCTTTGTCAGATGGGTAGGTTGCAAAAATTTTCTCCCATTCTGTAGGTTGCCTGTTCGCTCTGATGGTGGTTTCTTTTGCTGTGCAGAAGCTCTTTGGTTTAATTAGATCCCATTTGTCTATTTTGGCTTTTGTTGCCATTGCTTTTGGTGTTTTAGACATGAAGTCCTTGCCCATGCCTATGTCCTGAATGGTATTGCCTAGGTTTTGTTCTAGGGTTTTTATGGTTTTAGGTCTAACATTTAAGTCTTTCATCCATCTTGAATTAATTTTTGTATAAGGTGTAAGGAAGGGATCCAGTTTCAGCTTTCTACATATGGCTAGCCAGTTTTCTCAGCACCATTTATTAAATAGGGAATCCTTTCCCCATTTCTTGTTTTTGTCAGGTTTGTCAAAGATCAAATGGTTGTAGACGTGTGGTATTATTTCTGAGGGCTCTATTCTGTTCCATTGGTCTATATCTCTGTTTTGGTACCAGTACCATGCTGTTTCAGTTACTGTAGCCATATAGTATAGTTTGAAGTCAGGTAGCATGATGCCTCCAGCTTTGTTCTTTTGGCTTAGGATTGTCTTGGCAATGCAGGCTCTTTTTTGGTTCCATATGAACTTTAAAATAGTTTTTCTCCAATTCTGTGAAGAAAGTCATTGGTAGCTTGATGGGGATCGCACCGAATCTTTAAATTACCTTGGGCAGTAGGGCCATTTTCATGATATTGATTCTTCCTATCCATGAGCATGAAATGTTCTTCCATTTGTTTGTGTCCTCATTTATTTTGTTAAGCAGTGGTTTGTAATTCTCCTTGAGGAGGTCCTTCACATCCCTTGTAAGTTGGATTCCCAGGTATTTTATTCTCTTTGTAGCAATTGTGAATGGGAGTTCCCTCATGATTTGGCTCTCTGTCTGTTACTGGTGTATAGGAATGCTTGTGATTTTTGCACATTGATTTTGTATCCTGAGACTTTGCTGAAGTTGCTTATCAGCTTAAGGAGATTTTGGGCTGAGATGATGAGGTTTTCTAAATATACAATCATGTCATCTGCAAACAGGGACAATTTGACTTCCTCTTTTCCTAACTGAATACCCTTTATTTGTTTCTCTTGCCTGATTGCCCTGGCCAGAACTTCCAACACTATGTTGAATAGGAGTGATGAGAGAGGGCATCCCTGTCTTGTGCCAGTTTTCAAAGGGAATGCTTCCAGTTTTTGCCCATTCAATATGATATTGGCTGTGGGTTTTTCATAAATAGCTCTTATTATTTTGAGATACATCACATCAATACCTAGTTTATTGAGAGTTTTTAGCATGAAGGGCTGTTGAATTTTGCCAAGATGTTAATTTCAATATTACGTTATTTAGACTTCATGAGCCTCAAAACCACTCAAGGCAGTTGGCAGAGTAGAATAAGCTTGTCATTGATTAGTTTCCTATGGCTGCTGTAACAAATTATCTCAAATTAGATGGCTTATAACAACAGAAATTTATTCTTTCACACTTCTGGAGGCCAAAAATCTGATATGAGTGCAGTAATGTGCTACATGTTGACATTTTAGTAAACCACAGACCACATATCCTACGGTGGTCTTATAAGATTATAAAGGAGTTGGCTGCGCACAGTGGCTCACGCCTGTAATCCCAACACTTTGGGAGGCCGAGGCGGGCAGATCACCTCAGGTTGGGGGTTTGAGACCATCCTGACCAACATGGTGAAACCCCCATCTCTACTAAAAATACAAAATTAGTCGGGAGTGGTGGCACACACCTGTAATCCCAGGTACTTGGGAGTCTGAGGCAGGAGAATTGCTTGAACCCAGGTGGCAGAGTTTGCAGTGAGCCAAGATCCTCCCATCGCACTCCAGCCTGGGCAACAAGAGCAAAACTCTGTCTCAAAACAAAACAAAATAAACTACCTGCTAAATTCTAATATAAATTGGGGAATTTGTATCTTTGTCTCAGCCTAGCAACATTTAAAATGGAATGGGAACCATTTGAGAAACACATATCGTCCAAATCTTGACATTATTTCAGAACACGGTCTTGCCTCTTCCTCACCTCAACAACCAATCAGCAACAGTGGAATATATATGTGTGTGTGTGTATGTGTGTGTGTATATATATGTATATGTACATATGACAAAAATTATTTCTCTAAACTATTTGATAATGATTTTCAGACATTATATCTTTTTATTCCTAAATACTTCAATGTGTATTTCCTAAGAACAAGGTCAATTTCTTACCACAGCACAATTATCAAATTTAGAGAACTTAACATTGATAAAATAGTATTCTCTAATATACAGTCTATAAAAATTTTAATTGTATCAATAAAATCTTTTATAGGAATTTCTCTCCCAAACTAGGTGCCATTTCAGAATCACATATGAATCTAGTTGTCTTGACTTTTCAGTCTCCTTCACTTTGGAACAGATTCTTAATCTTCTTGTCTTTCATGAATATGTTTTTGAAGAGCATATGCCAGTGGTTTTGTTGAATGTTTCTTAATTTGTGTAGTCATGGTTACATTCAGGTCATGGAAATGTCACAGAAATCATGTTACCCTCTATCACACCAAGAGGCATGTGATGTCAGTTTTTCTCATTATTTATTATTATTATTATTATTTTTTTTGAGATAGAATTTCGCTCTTCTTGCCCAGGCTGGAGTGCAATGGTGTGATCTCGGCTCACCACAGTTTTGTATTTTTAGTAGAGACGGGGTTTCTCCATGTTGGTCAGGCTGGTCTCGAACTCCCAACCTCAGGTGATCCCCCTGCCTCGGCCTCCCAAAGTGCTGGAATTACAGACGTGAGCCACCACGCCCAGCCCAAATGAGGATTTTCTAATTTTATCCTTACTTCCACATTTATCACTTGGCACACAACTGTAAGGAAAATCTTCCCATCTTCCATATTTATGTGTTTAAGTTCCCAAGATTGATAATCACTTATTGTCATCATTAATGCTCAAAATGTGTCAGATTTGGCCATTGAGATCCCTTTCAAGCTGGCTTCTCTGTCCTTTCAAATCATACCCATCAATTCTGAGCACCTACATTCTGGCACAGCAAGATATCTTAGGTTCATCTTGTAGTTTCCCTGGCACAGTCCCGGAGTCAGTGTAGTTGACACCAGTAGCTACTTTCTATCAGTATCGCTGGTTCCTTTTAGTAGGGAGTGGTATTTGAAAATCAATATATAGAATTATCTTTGCTCATTGCATCTGAGGTATCATTTCTTCTAGGCCCAATTAGCAGAGAGATCTGTGGAGAAATTTTACAATTAAGTGTATAATTTCATACTGATGCCTCTAATTCCCATCATCACCAATAGGACTATTCTTTACCTTCCTCCTTTCCCACAGTGAGAGCCTGGTTCCAACAACATACAGGCGCACACATGCTCATTTTTCCAATCCTAAAATTCACACAAAATATCAGAATTGCTATTGCCTTAGCATTACAGAAAATATTCCTGATACATAGAGTTTAAGATATGCTTGCTGTTCTTTTTCTTTTTACAATGAGAACAATGTATAAACCATTTTCTTAGGTCAATTCTTTCCTGAATTTTCAATGTGGTTATGTTATACTTTTGAAATGCTCTATTTGGAAATAGATTTGCTGATCCCAAATCAGGAACAGTGTTTTTCTTTTTACTGTTAACGTACCTTTTCTTGATGTAACCGTGCCTAAGAGAGGGGGCACTTAGATATAGGGAAATCATAAACAGTGGAATTGGAAACACATGGTAATTGTCTTTATGACATAGAGCACATACTCAGATAATGGTGGTCACCAGTTTTCCAAATACACAGGAGGTATGAGGGGGTATAGCTCAGTGGTAGAGAGTGTACTTATCATGCACGAGGTCTTGGGCTGATTCCCCAGTACCTCCAGAGGTCCATTTTCTTCCCTGTGGCACTGTAAGAAGAGCTCCATGACCTTCCCCAGCTGTCCAGAATGTCCTGCCTTGTCAAGATATTTGGGTTGACCTCTACATCTCTCTCTCATACAGAGAGGTAATTCGTGTTCATTCACTTAAGGTTATTTGCTGCTTACGATTATCCACCTATTCTTTCTAAGCAGTCCCAGCAGTCACTAAGGTGAACCACGCACTATGGAAGCAAGTACTACTCCTGGCCCTCCAGCCTATTTCTAGTTGTAAATGAAATAATCAGAAACCATAGAACCACGTGGCGCAAGTCCTTTCCTGCGTGTGGTGTTTGTTTGTTTGTTTGTTTGTTTGTTTGAGACAGAGTTTCACTCTTGTTGCCCAGGCTGGAGTGCAATAGCACAATCTTGGCTCACCACAACCTCTGCCTCCCGGATTCAAGTGATTCTCCTGCCTCAGCCTCCTGAGTAGCTGGGATTACAACCATGCACCACCATGCCTGGCTAATTTTGTATTTTTAGTAGAGATGGGGGTTTCTCCCTGTTGGTCAGGCTAGTCTAGAACTCCCGACCTCAGGTGATCTGCCCACCTCAGACTTCCAAAGTGCTGGGATTACAGGCGTGTGCTACCATGCTTGGCCTTGTATTTCTTCTTCTAACCCAGGTTGCAGAAGCCCTACAAGCTTTCACTAAAAGATTTCACTGCCAGTGGCTGAGGACCTGATGTGCTGGTGGTCACTTTTTCCATTAGAAACCCACAAACTCTAAAACTTAATGTAAACTATTTAACTACAAGAATACAATAAATGGCAAATATAATGACAAATGAGAAAAAGATCACAGTCACTTCAGCTGACATTTGGTAGGGGGAACATATTTCTCTGGGTCCTCTAAGGAAGTTTCTGCCCTGAGATGCAAGCACTCGGAACTCCAGGAACCAAGATCAGTATAGGGTAAAGCTCATTTCTTTGTTTTCCATCAATAAAAATAATGAATGAACTTTTATTCTCCCAATCCCAATGGATCCTTTTCTACCTGCTGCACTTATTCTCCAGGAATAACCTCTTTCTAAGCTACTGAACAACCCACACCTCCAGATTAGAGCTCTTTGCACAGTTTCTGATGCTGGTATCACAGAGCTAAGCAGAATCCACGCGGGGATACTCTGCAAGCATCTCAATACTATCTCGTTAAAAGGAAATCGCCTTCTATTTTCAGCTCTATTTCATTTAAACAAAAGATAAAAAATTAAGTTACTCAACACCCAGAAGGCAGAAAAACGACCTCTCTCTGCATCTGCAGAAGCCAAGCAAGCTAGTGGGGCTTCCGTATGCATCCTTTGTTTTACTCATTTTCCAAACGCTGTAATGGTCCACCACCTACCAGGTGGTCACAAGCCATCGCTAAAGTCAATTTTGAGGTCAACCCACTCAACTTGTGAGGGATTCACCTATATTACCTCTGCACCTGTAATAAGACTAAGAAGACGGTGGCTGCACATGTAGTTAACACCGATTGTACCGCGACTTCGCCTTTCCGCAGCCTTTGTACCAACCTGCAGAGCCCTTTTGAGCCAAGAGCTGGACTTGGGGAGTAAAGAAGCTCATTGTAAACGCCAGGAGGAATTTCTTCAGGGTGAAGTTGACTTCCAATCGGCTTCATTCTAAAGGAAACATGTGGAGCAAACAAACGGGAACTTTCTTTCTCATCTTCTGCATTTCAAGCCTAATAAAATTAGACGTTTCCACTGTCCTGCTCAGTCTCGAAGCTGTCGGCAGATTCCGCTTTTAACTCTCAACACAGACACTCAGGAAATCGGGAAATCCCTGCAGCTCCCTCAGAAGCTATCAGTATCAGCGGTTCCCGAACCCGCAAACAAAAAACGCAACATCACGTGCTCCTCCAAAGAGCCTAGCCTGTCTATCGAGCGATGGAAAGAGCGGCGAGGCGCTCTCGCAGCCGTGGCAGTCTGGACGAAAAGAACCAGGTCCCTTTCCTGGTCTAGCCTACCTCCCTACCTCTCTTCCCTCATATCCAGAAGAAGCGACGGAGAGGTGAGTGCTTAGACTCACTCTAACATCCCGTCCATCCAAATCCTAATAATCTTGAGGATGCTTTTCCTTGTCCTCTACCCCTCTCCCTTTTTATGTTTCTTTCTCCACTTCACCGCACCCCGCCTCTTCCCTCTCTCCGCCAGCTGGCCCTCGGCTCCTCTCCACCTTCCCTCCCGTTTACTTCTGAATGAACTTTTCACAATAGTGCAGTGCACTCCTAGAACCATTTACACACATTCTAAGCACTGTGCTGAGATTTATATGTAGCCACTGTTTTAATTTCCACATCACTTTCCTTTTTTTTTTTTTCCTTCTCTATATGCTCAACTTCAAACGTTTTCTGCAGCATAGGCTGAGGCTGCGTCCAGATGGGGAGAGACGTCAGGCGGCGGGGATAAACCTGGAGGAATGTTGTTTCCTGTCTGGGGAGGTTCGGGCCTTACAAGAGGGAGAGAAAAAAAGAAAAAAGCCTGTAAGAGAATCTAAAATTTTTGAGGAAATTATTCAAAAAATATTTTAATTGACCCTCCCAACAAATTTTGGCTAAAAACAGAAAGCCTGGACTCTCTCGGAATAGGAGACTGAGTTTGAAAACTGTCCAGACATAGGGACGGTTTTATTAAAATTCAATTTGCAAGTCGTTGTTGGCTGTAGCTATTTCCTCATTCCAGAGAGGATTGTTTCTGAAATTCGGTAAACTCTGAAATTGTTTCTAAGTTATTTAACAAGAGGAGTCCAATGTTTTCACACTTTTGAAGTGATATAAGAATTTCTAGGCTGAGGTGGGAGAACGGATTGAGCCTGGAGGCGAAAGTTGCAATGAGAGGAGATTGCCACTGCACTCCAGGCTGGCAGAGTGGGACCCTGTCTCTCTCTCTCTCTCTCTCACTCGCTGGAATCTTCTCTCTCTCTCTCTCTCTATATATATATATAGAGAGAGAGATACATGTATATTTTATATTATATATAATATCTATATCAACAATATATTTACATTTTTAATTTATATATATTTCATATTTATATGTGTGTGTATATATATATATATATATATATATATATATATATATATATATATAGCGTGGTCACACTAAAATAAACATATGCTTGCCTTTTCCACCCCTGGCTCTCTGTACCACCTAAGGTGGATGTGTTAGCACTAGATCAGTAAAAGGAAGGAAACAGAGAAAAAGAATTGGCTCGCTCAGGATTTCTTCAGTCGGAAGCTATAAACCTACTACCAGGTTAACGTGTTCAATAATCTTCTGTTCCTTTTTGCCATGTCATTGAAGAGCAAGACAGAAAACAAAACAAAAAAGAGCCAAAAGGAGAGAAAAGGAAAAGTCTAGATAATTTCATTTTAGTTTTAGATAGTTTCCTTTAGTTTTCTGAGCGGTGTTTCCAAGGTGACCAAGCATGGGAGCATCTATCTTGCTGATTTGACCTATTCCTCGCCTTTTTTTTTTTTTTTTTTTTTTTAGAGACAGAGTCTCGCTGTCGCCCAGGCTGGAGTGCAGTGGCGCGATCTCGGCTCACTGCAGCCTCGAACTCCCTGGTTCAAGCGATTCTCCTGCCTCAGCCTCCGAAGTAGCTGAAACTACAGGCGTGCGCCACCTCTCCTGGCTAATTTTTATATTTCTTGTAAAGAAGGGATTTCACCATGTTGGCCAGGCTGGTCTTGAACTCCTGACCTCAAGTGATCCACCCTCCACGGCTTCGCAAAATGCTGAGATTACAGGCGTGAGCCACCGTGCCCGGCCGTCTCGTCTTTTCTTTCCCGTCTTTTGCCGGGGAAAATTGGATCCTATTTTCATACATAAATTACAGCAGAATTTATATTTTTGGATTGGGAGGAGGTGAGTGAATGACGGGTGATATTGAAGACAACCGAATTAGGCGTTGGAAGATACACTGACCTTACAAATTGCAGTTTTTATATTTTGAAGAAATGACCAACGGGACAGCTCCAGAGTAGCCGAAATAGCTCAGTTGGGAGAGCGTTAGACCGAAGATCTTAAAGGTCCCTGGTTCAATCCCGGGTTTCGGCAGATACCTTTTGGTTGTTGCATAATTGTCTTTCCTTTATACAACACTTGCACACCAATCCCAGAGGTCTATATATAACTCCCATTTTTTGCTTTTTGAAAATTCCATAAAGGTAATGTATATATATATGTATGTATATTTGTATCACTCTCTCCACTGAAGTCTTCCATGAAGTGTTAACTGATGGTATGTAAATTATTTAAAATCTTAAATCTAGAAAGTTACTAATTTTAAAACCTAAGAAATTCCAATATGCTATAGACTGTGGCAATTACAATTCATTTCTGATTTGATGTTATTTATGTGTGTTGGGCAGGGGTGTTTTAAATCACAAGAACTATGAAGAAACCTGTAGAAGAACTATTATGCTGTATGAGTGTATATATGTGGTAGTGGTATATTCAAGAAACATTTTGCAATTCCAAAAACCTCGGTTTGGCCGGGCGCAGTGGCTCAGGCCTGTAATCCCAGCACTTTGGGAGGCCGAAGCGGGTGGATCACGAGGTCAGGAGATCGAGACCACGGTGAAACCCCCGTCTCTACTAAAAGTACAAAAAAATTAGTGGGGCGCGGTGGCGGGCGCCTGTAGTCTCAGCTACTCAGGAGGCTGAGGCAGGAGAATGGCGTGAACCCGGGAGGCGGAGCTTGCAGTGAGCTGAGATCGCACCACTGCAATCCAGCCTGGGTGACAGAGCGACACTCCGTCTCAAAAAAAAAAAAAGAAAGAAACACCTCGGTTTGTATCTTGAGTCAACTCCATAGCTCTGCAGTTAAACTGCTGGGAAAATAACTTTCTTTTTTTTGAGACGGAGTCTCGCTCTGTCGCCCAGGCTGTAGTGCAGTGGCACGATCTCGGCTTACTGCAAGCGCCGCCTCCCGGGTCCACGCCATTCTCCTGCCTCAGGCTCCCGAGTAGCTGGGACTACAGGCGCCCACCACCACGCCCAGCTAATTTTTTGTATTTTTAGTAGAGACGGGGTTTCACCATGTTAGCTGGGATGGTCTCGATCTACTGACCTCGTGATCCACCCACCTCGGCCTCCCAAAGTGCTGGGATTACAGTGTGAACCACCGCGCCCGGCCCTGTTTTGTTTTTTTGAGGCAGGGTCTCACTCTGTCACCCATGCTGGAGTGCAGTGGTATGATCACAGCTCACTGCAGCCTCAGCCTCCCTGGACTCAAGCGATCCTCCCATGTCAGCCTCCTGGGTAGCTGAGACTACAGAAATGCAACAACAAGCCTGGCTTTCTCTCTCTCTCTTTTGTACTTTTTTTTTGTAGAAACTGGGTTTCACCATGTTCCCCCAGCTGTTCTTGAAATCCTGGGCTCAAGCAACCTGCCCGCTTCTGCCTCCCTACGTGCTGGGATTACAGGTGGGAACCACCGCACCAGTCCTAATTACAGGAATATTTTTAAGTTTCTTACTGACAGGACATTTCTTTAGCCTGGAAACCTTGCCTAGAATTTCCAAATCTTAAGTTATTTCCTCATTGGTATCCAGGAAAGAACAAAAATAAGTCTTTCTTTCTTTTTTCTTTTTTTTTTTTTTTTTGAGACAGAATCTTGCTATGTTACCCATGCTAGAGTGCAGTGGAACGATCTCAGCTCACTGCAACCTCCGCCTCCCCGGCACAAGCAATTCTCCTGCTGCAGCCTCCCAAGCAGCTGGGATTACAGGCGTCCACCACCATGCCTGACTAATTTTTGTATTTTTAGTAAAGACGGGATTTCACCATGTTGGCCAGCCTGGTCTCCAACTCCTGACCTCGTGATCTACCTGCCTCGGCCTCCCAAAGTGCTGGGATTATAGATGTGAGCCACTGCGTCCAGTCAAAAATAAGTATTTCTAAATTAATTATTCTGTCAAGACTCAGGTGGATGTGCCCCATTTTCCTTTTTTTTACTTCAACTCCTCTCTTGAAATTTTGTGTTGGGATAATGGGCCTTTTTTGTCCTGTTTTTTTTTTTTTTTTTTTTTGTCTGATTTTTTTTGGTCATTTTTAATATCTTTTCTTCTTTCAAATTGGTGTTTCATTTTCAGTGTTATTTTCCC
The DNA here is from genome assembly GCF_000001405.40 of Homo sapiens. NCBI lineage: Eukaryota > Metazoa > Chordata > Mammalia > Primates > Hominidae > Homo > Homo sapiens. The sequence goes on along the minus strand of NT_167245.2, from coordinate 86,866 downwards.
CTAACACCTGCATACTGTGTGAGGAGACAATAAACTACAGTACTCCAACATCAGAACTGCATCAAATTGTGAAAGGAAAATTGGTACCAAATGAGAGACCAACCTCAGGGTGGGGACATTGACTGTACAGGAACTAGGAATCAGATACTTTACCCTTTAAGTCACTGAGGCTTTCTCAACTCAGAAGCCTGTGTTTTATTTCATTAAGAAATATTTGATAGGCTGGGCGTGGTGGCTCACGCCTGTAATCTCAGCACTTTGGGAGGCTGAGGCGGGTAGATCACCTGAGATCAGAAGTTTAAGACCTGCCTGGCCAACATGGTGATACCCTGTCACTACTAAAAATACAAAATAATAATAATAACAATAATAATAATAATAATAATAAATTAGCTGGGTGTGGTGGTGGATGCCTGTAATCCCAGCTACTCGAGAGGCTGAGGCAGGAGAATCCCTTGAACCCGGGAAGCGGAGGTTGCAGTGAGCCAAGATCGCAACATTGCACTCCACCCTAGGCAACAAGAGCAAGACTCTGTCTTAAAAAAAGAAAAAAAAAAGGAAACATTTGATTAGACAAATGGCAGGATTGAATGTTTTCTTGCCTAGCACAGTAGTGATTCCTTTACATTTTGTTGAAATGAAACGCCTAGGGTAATTCTAAGCATGATTCGTCTCTCATTCAATACCTTAAAAATGAGGCTAATAATGATTATGTAAAATGGGATGTTGCAAAGGTCTAAGGAGATCATGCATGGAAATGCATTTAGTCAAGTCCACTCGCGGCATGAAACCTAATTACTGGCAGACCATGCTCCATGTCCTTTGGCTCTGGGATTCTCCCAGAACAGCACCTAAATAGATAACATCGTCTCTAGACAATGCTGTCCAATCAAAAGATACTACAAGTCTTCTGCTTTAGCTTCTGGGATAAAAAGAATTTTTAAAAAAGTTAATACAAATCTTAAATGAGAGCCACTTCTGTAGTTTTAAATTTTCTAGTAGTCACATTTAAAAAATAAACAGGCAATACTTATTTTATATAATTTTTTAACAATTTCAACTTTTAGATAGGCAAGGTGGGTCATACCTGTAATCCCAGCCCTTTGGGAGGCCGAGGTGCGCGGAACACCTGAGGTCAGGGGTTCAAGACCAACCTGACCAATATGGTGAAACCCTGTCTCTAATAAAAATACAAAAATTAGCTGGGTGTGGTGGTGCATGCCTGTAATTTCAGCTACTTGGGAGTCTGAGATAGGAGAATCACTTGAAACCTGGAGGAGGAGTTTGCAGTGAGCCCAGATAGCGCCACTGTACTCTAGCCTGAGAGACAGAGCAAGACTCTGTCTCAAAATAATAATACTAATAATAATAATTTCAACTTTTATTTTAGATTCAGGGGGTACATGTCCAGGTTTGTTACATGGGTATAGTGCATGATGCTGGGGTTGGGGTGAGATTAATCCCATCACCTGGGTGGTGAACATAGTATCCAATAGTTAGCTTTTCAAGCCTTTCCCCTTCTCGCCTCCCCCTCTAGTAGTCCCCAGTGTCTATTGTTTCCATCTTTTATGTCCAGTTTTACTAATATATGTAAATCACCTTGCATGTCCAAAATATTATTTTAACAAGTAATCAATCTTAAAATTATCAGTGAGACATTTTATGTTTAAAAAATGATATTACATCTGGCCAGGTGCGGCGGCCCATGCCTGTAATCCCAGCACTTTGGGAGGCCGAGGAGGGCAGATGACAAGGTCAGGAGTTTGGGACCAGCCTGGCCAGCATGGTGAAACCCTGTCTCTACTAAAAAAAAAAAAAAAGAAAAAGAAAAATTGCCAGGCATGGTGGTGCGCGCCTGTAGTCCCAGTTACTCAGGAGGCTGAGGCAGGAGAATGGATTGAACCCAACAGGTGGAGGTTGCTGTGAGCCAAGATTGCACCACTGCACTCCAGGTTAGGTGGCAGAGCGAGACTCCATGAAAAAAAAATTACATCTTTGAAATCTGGTATATATTTCTCACTTTCAACACATCTTAACTTAGACTAGGCAATTTTCAGTACTCAATACCCAATGTGGCTAATGGTAACCATATTGGACAGTGCAGATTTAAACATATACTTTATATATTTTTAGGTTTTCGAAATTGAGTGTGTATGACAGGGTGTTCTGTCTTCAAAATTAAATGTTTAATTTCTCAGAAGAATGCTATGTTAAATGAGCTCATCCTACAGATTTCACACAAAAAACATGTTTCAATCGTGTTGCTGGTAGATAGTCTGAAGATAGCTACAGATATTTAATTATTTAAAATTCTCCCATTTTTATGAGGCAACCTTCTTATTATGAATTCCCAAGAATCCAATAGACAGCCAAGTTTCTCTGGGTGTAACACAACATAAAGATGAAGGAGAGTTTCTGCAAACTGTCCTAATATTGCTTTTACAGCATCAAAGAGCCAAGATAATCCTTCCCATCATTTACATGCACACACACAGACACAGTCAGGCAGGCAAACACACATGAATACACATCAATTTTGTCTATAACAATTCTCTAGTTTCTCCTTCAGTGAAGTCTATCACTCAGTGTTTCCTATTTTTATTCTAGAAATCCCATCAGCCAACTGAAAAGCCAAGTCTGACATACAACTTGCAATTTGGCAATTTTGAAAGCCATCAATGTTACTTTATTAACATTGGCAAAGGCTCTTATATAGGCAAACCAGAATGAGAAAGAGTTAATAGTCACTAGAAATTTGGTGCTGAGAAATAGGTTTTCTTCTCATCTTCTTATGTAATTCAAAGGACACACGATAAGTCCCAAGATTCAAGAACTTTTGAATTCAAGAACAAACAAACTTGTTTGTTCACTACAAATATCACGAATAGGTTTGTAATTTCCATATCTCAAAGTACACTTTTTTAGTCTTTATCCATCCTCCATGTAATGTGTCTACTACTATTAATGCTTACAAATCCCAGGCTAGAGACAGAGTTAATTGCCTGAATTCTCTGAGAAACATCCTCACAAGTGTGCCCCACAGATACTTTAAATTGAGTATGAGCCAAACTAACTCATCTTCTCCATCTTCCAGTCTATCTCTCATTCCTAAAAGAGCTGTTAAAACCTCTCCCCTTTTCTGCACCTGCTGTGTTTGTTTTTCTAAAGCATTCTTCAACCCTGTTTGTATTTATCTTCGGTCTTATTCTCATAATTCAACCCTTCTCTCCATCCCCATAGCTGTTTTTCATTCACGCCTTATGAATCCCTTCCCCTCCCCTCCCCTCTTCTCCCCTCGTCTCCCCTCTTCTCCCCCTTTCCCTCCCCTCCCCTTCCCTTCTCTCTCTGTTGCCCAGGCTGGAGGACAGTGGCACAGTCATAGCTCCCTACAACAACTAACTCCCGAGCTCAAGCGATCCTCGTGCCTCAGCCTCTAGAGTAGCTGGGAGTACAGGCGTAAGACACCACGCCAGCTAAGGACCCTTATGAAAAAATGCTAAGTGCATCGCTGTCAGGTTTTCTTCTGATTGTGGCTTTCCTCCATCAAATCTTATCTTTAATATTCCGATTGAGCAAACAACAATTATGAAGCGTTTTAGGCAGGAAAAGGCTGAATTTCAATGGCTTTGTGTCGTATCTGGGAGAAATTAAAAGAAACGAAAACCTGAACTTGATTCTTGCCAAGCATAATAGAAGGAGACCCTAAGAACTCAACGTCTTGAGGCCACAATGGAAACTTCTTGTGGTTATTATCTGACACTTTTCTAATCTTTCGTTTTTCGTTTCAAGTCCTACACAGTATTCTAAAGAATCTGTATCCCCCATTAGTACCAAGTATCTCCTGCTCAGAACAGCTCTCCGCACTCCATAATACTGACCACTACTACCAGCATGCTCACGGAGTCTCAGGAAATGAAAGTTACCTCCTGAAAATTATTACAAAGAGACCTTATAGTAAGGGGGTGTAGCTCAGTGGTAGAGCGCATGCTTTGCATGTATGAGGCCTCGGGTTCGATCCCCGACACCTCCAAGCGATGGTTTTGCTCTGGTAGTTTTCAAGCGACAGACTTCTGCCTCCTCACGTTTTTCTATCCTATTTCTGCACATATAGACAGTAAAAGTGTAGCCCAATGTTCAGCCTTGAACTATCTCCACTGGTTATGCTGTGAACCTCGACATCACCAAAGGCGATTGCCACAGCAGAAGGGAGACAAACAAGAAATGAGGGGGAAAGAAGAACGGGATCGCAACACGGTCTCTTGAACCCAAACAAAAGCGTGCACATTCACAGGCGGCTCGCTTTCACTCCCATTTTGTACTATGATTAATGAGACGCAAAGACAAAGGAGAAGGGAGAAAAGCGCCCTGAAGGCATCTATTTTTTTTTAAGTTATTTTTGTTTTCTGGGCCAAAGAACAGAGCGAAAGCCTCTGTTCACTGATTTCTCCACCAGTCTCTCCCTGTCTACCTGCGCGGAGAACACAGCTACCAGTGTGATCCAGTACTGAGACAAGGGCTGTGGCTCTCCAGTCGCTTGAGATGGGAGTGGCAGGGCGCTGGATAACCACACGAAGACTGTCGGGGAATTAGAGGCCTTCAACGTGCGAGAAGCAGAAACCAATACGGATCAACATTCCCTACTGATGTTCCATAAGACTGATTTGTATTCCTGTATTTCCTCAGTCACTCCATTTTCCTCTTTACAATAAAATATTGCCTGGGAACTTCTGGTAAGAGCAAACGGAGGCCCCATATGAAAAACTAGGAAAAGGTTTTCTGTCACAATGCAAAATACATGCAGACTAAAAGATAAGTAGATCGCAGGTGTGTTGGGCACTTCCTGCCTTGGGAAAAAACAAACAAACATTTCATGTTCTTTCTCGATCCACCTGATTACATCGCTTTTTTTGGAGAGGGAACTCCCAAGAAATCCTATGCACTCATGAAACCTTTTATGGTTTCCAACGGTGTATGGTTTCAAAACTGCTGTTCTCTCTGTACATATTTCCTATTGAATTAAAGTGTCTTTGAGAGGCAAGAGAGTATGATGTTTGTTCCTAGTCCACCAGCCTATCAGGCTGGCATGATAGATACACTCTATGAGGCTAACATGACCTTACTTGATTCTTTTGTCCAGTGAGAATATCTATAACCAGCATCCAGGAGGGATACTGTCTGATGAAACCTGCTTAGCTGAGGACTGGCTGTGTGTGTGCCTCCAGACCAATCATATGTTTGTTTTGAGACACATTTTTTGGAGGAAGGTAATACACACATGCCATGTATTTTCTTTTTGTTTCATACTTTTTCTTCTTTAATTTCCTGGTATCCATTGGTTCTCTCCAGGCAAACAGTGGCATGTTAGCCACAGTGGACACTGCATAGGAGAGCAAGGGGTGGAGGATTAGGGTGCTGCAATCAGAATAATAAATTTCAGGCCCAACCTTAGGTCTATTGAATCAGAACTGCTGAGTATGGATGGGGCTCAGCCTCCTGTGTTTGAATAAGCCTTCAAGTGACTCTGATGCTAAAGTTTGTGAAGCACTGCTCTAGAAGTTTCAGGAAGTCCCAGGGTCAGGCACCTGCTGAGGAGGAAGAGTTGGTCCTGGGGTTCCCTGCCTATTCTCAATCAAAAACACAAACCTAGGAAAGCCAGTGAGGTTTGTATTCGTCTTATGTCAGGGATGGGGTTGAATTTACCATTTCTTTGACCCTTTGAATATTTATGCAACTTTTCAGGTCACACACAACAGACTGATTTTCCTGTGGAGGAACTCACAGGAATTCTCTTGAACCAGGAGACTCTTTTGAGCTGAAATACCTGGAGCTCTCTCAAGCTATTTGGGCCTTGCAATTTGAAACCCAGGCTTGGACGATTCTAAGCCCTGTGGCAGAGAGTAATCATTTTCTCTCCACCCTCAGGGTGAGGACTCATCCTCAGGGTTGGGAGTGACTGCTGTCTCTCCAGCCCCCACCAAGTCTACCAATGTTCTGGTTGTTAAAATCCAGCATATGCATGAAATGTAATAAAAGTATCTTTGCAGCAGTAAGTAGAGAGTTCCTCGTTGTGAGCAGACCATTCCTCTTCCTCCTTGGAAAAAATTCTGTATCCACTTTCTACATTTTCACGTTTGTCTCTTCCTCTACACACACCTCAGCTGCTGCTTTATTTACACTTGTCTCATGTAAGGATCTTCTTTTATGTGGTAACCTTGGCTTTTCCCACTGTTCTTGCTTCCACGAGTTGGATGCAGGCAATATAGGAGCCGACTGCAAAATGTAGGTGATATTGTCCAGAAAGAAACCCGAATTTCAGAGGCTTGCTGATGTGGAAGAAAGCCAAGATATTAGACTCATAGAGCTTCACTCTGCTAGGTAGGTTGAAATCTGGACACCCTGAATTCCATAAAAACAAGGTAGTACTCCTTCTGAAAACCCTCGTAAGTTTAAAATATACTGGGACTGCCTTACCTTTCTTGTTTTTCATGCCTTGTATTCCAAGCTTGACAAGCTATAACAAAAACAAAAGCAAAGAACACTCTTCCTATCTATAACAAAGGACCCTATGCTTCAGCGGGAGGGTCTCTCTTCCCGGTTAAACACTCTCCCCCTCGCTAACAGTAGGGATTGGAAATAGGCGGCTTCTCTGTCGTTTCCTTGGAAGCCACTAATACCACCCGCCTGTACCAAAACTCAAGGGTACCCGTTCTCCCCAGTGCCCCAGCCAGTAAAGGAGCTGCGAGGCGTTCTCAACGCCGCGACTGCCTTGAGCAAAACGAGGGAGATCTTGCGAGGAAAGTGTTTTCAGCTCACTTCTCCAACAGGGAATGAGCCCTCTCGCTTATCGCGGACAGCGAGGAAAAGCAGCGGAGATGGGCTTCCGGGCTGCACTCCGCCTTCCGGCCCACCCAGATCCTCTGGCAGCCTCGGGCGCTCGCCCACTTCGCTTCTCCTCCGCCTTTGCCGCCGCCGCCGCAGGTGCGCACCCCACCGCGTCCCTGCTTCCCTCTCGAACTCTTTTCGAAGGTGGTCCTCGTTCTCCTCTCCATCCATCGTTTCTTGAGTGTCAGAACTGGAGCCATAGCGTCCCCAAGACGAAATCCATGCTGGGTTTCGCGACCATGGTGCTGGCCCAGGCGCTGGCAGGGTAAGGACGGGCAGCGACCCACGCTCCTGGGTCTTCGTTTCTAAGAGCTGGGAATTCCACTTTCTCACCTCCTCACCTGCACCTAAATCCCCCGAGACGGTACTGACCCTTCTGTTTTAGTATCCATCTACGTTACTCTTGATAGAAGAGTACAGCCCTTGAAGGAAGAGGGAAAAGAAATTTGAGAAGGGAGAATTTAGAAAAACCTTTTTAGTTTGAAATTATTTCAAACCTACAGAAAAGTTGCAAAAATGATACAAAGAACTGCCACACACAAGTTACTCATATTTACCAATTCCCGATATTTTGCCACAATGATTCTCCTCTCTCTTTACGGCTAAACACACACACACACTATTATTTTTCTCATGTACTTTATTATTTATTTATTTATTGAGACAGGTCTTGCCCTGTCGTCCAGGCTGGAGTGCAGTGGTGCGATCTCGGCTCACTGCAACCTCCGCCTCCCGGGTTCATGCGATTCTCCTACCTCTGCTTCCCAAGTAGTTGGGATTAGAGGCATGAGCCACCATGCCAGGCCATTTTTTGTATTTTTAGTAGAGACGGGACTTCACCATGTTGGCCAGGCGGGTCTGGAACTCCTAACCTCTGGTGATCCGCCCGCCTCGGTCTCCCAAAGTGCTGGGTTTACAGGCGTGAGCCACCCCGGAGCTTCTGTGTTCTTTTAAATCATCCCCATCATTCTGGCACAGCAAGATATTTTAGGTTCATCTTGTAGTTTCCCTGGCACAGTCCTGGAGTCAGTGTAGTTGACACTAGTAGCTACTTTCTATTAGTATCTCTGGTTCCTTTTAGTAGAGAATGGTATTTGAAAATCAAAATATAGAGTCATCTTGCTCATTGTTTCTAAGGTATTTCTTCCAGGCTCAGTTAGCAGACAGATCTGTAGGGAAAATGTACTATTTTTATTTTTTGAGACAGAGTCTTAGTCGCCCAGGCTGGAGTGCGGTGGTGCGATCTTGGCTCGCTGCAACGTCCGCCTCCCGAATTCAAGCGATTATCCTGCCTCAGCCTCCCGAATAGCTGGGACTACAGGGGCGGCCACCACACCCGTCAAATTTTTGTATTTTTAGGAGAAACGGCGTTTTGCCATGTTGGCCAGGCTGTTCTCGATTTCTGACCTGAAGCGATCCACACGTCTCAACCTCCCAAAGTGCTGAGACTACAAGCGTGAGCCACCGCGCCCGGCCTATACAATTACATATGTATAATTTCATACTGATGCCTCCAATTCCCATCAACACCAACAGGACTATTCTTTACCTGCTTTCTCTTACAGTGACAGCCTGTTTCCAACAACACACGCGCTCACACACACTCATTTTCCCAATCCTAAAATTCACACAAAATCTCAGAATTCCTGCAGCCTTAGCTCTAAAAAAAAAACCCTCATACATAGAGTTTAAGATTTGTTTCCTCTTCTTTTTGTACTTACAATTAGAACAACGAACTTTGTCAAGCATTTTCTTAAATCAGTTATTTCAATGGGGTTATGTTATTCTTTCACAATGCAGTTTTAATTTGCCTCTATTTGTGTTGAATTTTAGGGTATTTTCACACACACTTGAGTCAGTTTTATTTTTTGACCATGTGAGACTAACACGCTTCCAAGAGTCAAAAGAATACAGAACATTATAATCAGAAAATTTGCAAGAGAATGTTGTATGCCAGGACACACTCAAATGATTGAATGCAAGTATGCTCCAGGAAATCTAACGCGATGGGGAGCCCACCGTGGGGTGAGTTGATCTTGGACTGACCACAAATCAGGAACAGTGCCTTTATTTGTACTATTAAGCTACCTTTCTTTTGGTGTAGCAGGGCCTAAGAGAGGAAACACTTCCTGTAGGAAATTGAGAGTGGAATTGAAAACATAAAGATTATCATGACACAGAGCCCAGACTCAGACAATAATAGTCATCAAAATATTCTCTAAAAGGCAAGTCTTCCAGAGGGGGTATAGCTCAGCGGTAGAGCGCGTGCTTAGCATGCACGAGGTCCTGGGTTCAATCCCCAATACCTCCAGGTTTTGTTTTCTTCCCCGGGCACTAGTGAGAAGCGGTCCATGATATTCCCCAACTTTAAATTTTTCTGTCTGTCAAGGTGAATTGTGTTGGCCTCTGCATTTCTCTCTCATACACAGAGGTGACTCGTGTTTATTCCTTTGAATCTATTTGCTGCTTAGGATTATCCACTTATATTTTCTAAGCAGTCCACCAATCACTAACATGAACCACGCACGAGGGAAGCAAGCAGTATTCCTGGCCATGCAACCAATTTCTAGTTGTAAATGAAATCATCAGAAACCATAGAACTGTGTGGCCCAAGTCTGATTTCAGATCAGAAGCTAAAAAGGCTCACGTCCTTTTCTGTTTCTTCTTCTAACTCCCTCTAACCAGGTTGAGAAGCCCTACAAGCTTTCACTAAAAGATTACACTGCCGGTGGTTGATGATTTGATGTGCTGGTGGTCACTTTTTCCATTAGAGACCCACATAGTTTGAAACTTAAACTATTTAACTACAAACACAAGGCAAATGATGAAAAGATAGCAGTCACCTCAGCTGAAATTTGGTGGAAGTAAAAAGTACTTCTCTGGGTCCTCAAGGAAGTTTCTGGTCTGAGATGCAAATACTCTGAACTCCAGGAAACAAGATCAGTATAGGAGAAAGCTCATTTTGTTGTTTTTCATAAATAAAAGTAATGAACGTTTATTCTCCCAAGCCCAACGGATCCTTTTCTACCTGATTGTACTTACTCTCCAGAAATAACCTCCTTCTAAGCTAGGGAACAACCCATACCTCCAGATTAGAGAGCTCTTTGTAGAGTTTCTGATTCTGGTATTACAGTACTAAGCAGAAATCCACAGGGAAATACTCTGCAAGCATGTTAATACTAACTTGTTAAAAGAAAATCTGCTTTTATTTTCATCTTTATTTCATGCCAACAAAGCAAAAAAAAAAATAAGTTACTAAACACCCAGAAGGCAGAAAAGTGACCTCTATCCATCTGCAGGAGCCAAGCAAGCGTGTGGGCTTCCGTATGCATCCTTTCTTTTACTCACTTTCTAAATGCTGTAACGGTCCACCATCTACCAGGTGGTCACAAGTCATCGCTAAACTCAATCTGAGGTCAGCCCACACGACTTGTGAGTGGTTCACTTATATTGCCTCTGCACCTGTAACAGGACTAAGAAGACGGTGGCTGCACACGTAGTTAACACCGATTGTACCTCGACTTCGCCTTTCTGCAACAGCTGTGACGCTCTGCAGGTCCTGAGCCAAGAGCTGGACGTTAGGAGTAAAGGAGCTCGTTGCAAACGCCAGGAAGAGTTTCTTTAGGGTGAAGTTGGCTTTCGATTGGCTTTATTCTAGGAGATATATATGGAGCAAAGAAACGGTAACTTTTTCTCATCTTTTGCATTTTAAGCAAAAACTAATAAAATTAGATGTTTCCGCCGTCATGCTCAGTCTCTTAGCTGCCGGCAGATCCCGCTTCTAACTCTCAACACGGGCACTTAGGAAGCCAGGCAATCCCTGAAGCTCCCTCAGAAGCTACGGTATCAGCGGTTCCTGAGGCGCAAACCAAAACCCAACATCACTCCAAAGAGCTCAGCCCGTCTGTCGAGCGACGGAAATAGCGGAGAGGCGCTCTTGAAGCCGTGACAGCCTGGGCGAAACGAACCAGGTCTCCTTCCTGGTCCAGCCTACCTCCCTAGGGACACCTCTCTTCCCTCACGGCCAGAGGAAGCGACGGAGAGATGTGGCGCTTAGATTCACTCTACGGTCCCGTCCATCCAAGTCCGAATCATCTTAAGGATGCTTTTCCTTGCCCTCTATCTCTCTCCCATTTGTGTTTTTCTTCCTCCACTTCACGGCACCCCTCCTTTTCCCTCTCTCCGCCAGCTGGCGCTCAGCTCCTCTCCACCTTCCCTCCCATTTACTTCTGAATGAACTTTTCACAATAGTGCAGCGCAGTCCTAGAACCATTTACACACATTTTAAGCACTGTGTTGAGATTTATATGTAGCTGCTGTTTTAATTTCCGCATCACGTTCCATTTTTTTCCTCTCTGTATGTTCAACTTTTAACATTTCTGCAGCATAGGCTGAGGCTGCGCCCAGCTGGGGAGAGACGTGAGGCGGAGGGGATAAACCCAGAGGAATGTTGTTTCCTGTCTGAGAAGGCTCGGACCTTACAAGCGGGAGGACAAGACAAAGACTGAAAGCGAACATAATTTTATAAATTTTATTTATTTAATTTTTAGGAAATCATCTAATCATCCAGAAACAATTTTTTGGGGGGGAAACGAAGTTTCGCTCTTGTTGCCCAGGCTGGAGCGCAGTGGTGCGATCTCGGGTCACTGCAACCTCTGCTTCCCGGGTTCAAGCGATTCTCCTGCCTCAGCCTCCTGAGTAGCTGGGATTATAGGCGCCCGCCACCATGCCTGGCTAATTTATGTGCATTTAGTAGAGACGGGGTTTCACCATGTTGACTAGGCTGGTCTCGAACTTCTGACCTCAGGTGATCCACCCGCCTCTGCCTCCCAAAGTGCTGGGATTACAGGCGTGAGCCACCACTCCTGGCTTCAAGAACAATTTCTTATCGACCCTTCCATCAAATTTTGGCTAAAACTGAAAGCCTTGACTCTTTCAGAATAGGAGACTCAGTTTGAAAACTGTCCAGACATAGAGAGGGTTTTATTAAAATTCAGTTTGCAAGTAATTATTGGCCATAGCAATTCCCTCATTCCAGAGAGAACTGTTTCTGAAATTCTGTAAACGTCTTAAATTGTTCTTAAGTTATTTATCAAGAGGAGTCCAATGTCTTGACACTTTTGAATTGATATAAAACTTCTAGGCTGAGGTGGAAGAACTGATTGAGCCAGGAGGTGAAAGTTGCAGTGAGAGGAGATTGCCACTGCACTCCAGTCTGGCAGAGTGGGACACTGTCAAAATAAAAATAAATAAATACAATCTCATGATTACAGATGTGTATGTAAAAAGCAATTTTTTTTTTTTTTTTTGAGATGGAGTCTTGCTCTGTCACCCAGGCTGGAGTGTAGTGGTGTGATCTCGGCTCACTGCAACCTCTGCCTCCTGGGTTCAAGAGATTCTGTAGCTGGGACTACAGGGGCGCGCCTCGACGCGGGGCTAATTTTTGTGTTTTCAGTAGAGACAACATGGGGTTTCACTATGTTGGACAGGCTGGTCTCCAACTCCTGACCTCAGGCGATCTGCTCGCCTTGGCCTCCCAAAGTGCTGGGATTACAGGCGTGAGCCACTGCACCCAGCTGGAAAAAAAAAAACAATTCTTATGCATCAATGTGCAGACCACAATTCTCTGAACTCCAAGGAATAGGCCGGGAACGGTGGCTCAAGCCTGTAATCCTAGCACTTTGGGAGGCCGAGGCGAGACCAGACTGATCAACATGGTGAAACTTCGTCTCTACTAATAATACAAAAAAATTAGCTGGGCGTGGTGGGGCGCGCCTGTAATCCCACCTACTGGAAGAGACTGAGTCAGGAGAATCGCTTGAACCTGAAAGACGGAGGTTGCACTAAGTCCAGATCGTGCCACTGCACTCCAGCCTGGGAGACAGAGCGGGACTCCATCTCAAAACAAAGAAACAAAGAAACAAACAAACAAACATATTATACTTTCCATTTTCACTCCCTGGGTCTCCGTACCACCCAAGGTGGATGTGTGAGCACAAGACTGGTAAAAGGAAGAAAATAGAAAAAAAGAACTACCTCGCTCAGGATGTCTTTTTTCGGAAGCTATAAGCCCACTACCGTGTTAAAGTGTCCACTAATCTTCTGTTCCTTTATGACATGCCATTGAAGAGCAAGCCAGAAAAAGAAAATCCGAAAAAAGAGAAAAGGAAATGCCTACATAATTTCATTTTGAATTCCTTAGTTTTCTGAGCAGTGTTTTATACGGTGACCAAGCATGGGAGTATCTTCCTCATTTGACCTATTCCTCGCCTTTTCTTTCCCATCTTTTGCTGGGGAAAATTGGATCCTATTTCACACATAAATTGCAGCAGAACTTATATTTCTTGGGTGGAGGGGAGGTGAGTGAATGACGGGTGATATTGAAGACAACAGAATTAGGCGTTGGAAGATACACTGACCCTACAAATGGCAGTTTCTGTATTTTGAAGAAATGACAAAAGCAGTAGGATCACGGTGGCCGAGATAGCTCAGTTGGGAGAGCGTTAGACTGAAGATCTAAAGGTCCCTGGTTCAATCCCGGGTTTCGGCAGTTGCATTTTGGTTTTAGCATAATTGTCACTCCTTCAACACAGCGCTTGCGCACCAATCCCAGAGGTCTATATATAACTCCAGGTGTTTGTGGTTTTTTTGTTTCTTTTTTCTTTTTTCTTTTTTTTGGCTGTTTTCTGAAAATTCCATAAAGGTAATGTATACACACACACACACACACACACACACACACATCTATATATATATATTTACACACAAACACATATATATATATATATTTGTAACACTCTCTCCACTGAAGACTTCCATGAAGTGTTAACTGACAGGACGTAAATTATTTAAAGTCTTAAACCTAGCAAGTTATTACTTTTAAAACCTAAGAAATTCCAATATGCTATATGCTGTGGCACTTACAATTCATTTCTGATCTGATGTTATTTATGTGTGTTGGGCGGGGGTGTTTTTAAATCACAAGAAATGTGAAGAAACCTGTAGAAGAAGAACTATTATACTGTATGAGTGTATATATGTGGTGGTGGTATATTCAAGAAACATTTTGCAATTAGAAAAAACCGGGTTTGTACCTTGAGTCAACTCCATAGCTCCGCAGTTAAACTGCTGGAAAAATAACTTTTGCTTTGTTTTGTTTTTCTGAGGCAGGGTCTCACTCTGTCACCCATGCTGGAATGCAGTGGTATGATCACAGCTCACTGCAGCCTCAGCCTCCCTGGACTCAAGCGATCCTCCTATGTCAACCTCCTGAGTAGCTGAGACTACAGAAATGCAACAACAAGCCTGGCTTTTTGTTTGTTTGTTTGTTTTTTGGTTTTGTTTTTTTTTTAATTTTTTTGGTAGAGACTGGGTTTCACCATGTTGCCCTGGCTCTTCTGGAAATCCTGGCTCACCTCTGCCTCTCACCATGCTGGGATTACAGGCTTGAGCCACCACACCAGGCCTAATTACAGGAATATTCTAAGTTTTCTTACTGACAGGAAGCCTGGCACCCTTGTCCAGAATTTCCAAATCTTAACTAATTTCTGTGTTGGAATCCAGGAAAGAACAAAAACAAGTACTTGTATATGAATTATTCTGTCAGACATTCATGAGGGGCCTTAGAATACTGAAAATGAAAGCAAATGGGCAGCAAAGTCATCAAGATTCAGGTGCATGTGCCTCATTTTCCCTTTTCCACTTCAACTTCTCTGTTGAAATACTGTGTTGGGGGTAATGGGTCTTTTTTTTCCCTCCTTTTTTCTTTCAAATTGCTGTTTCATTTTGAGAGTTATTTTCCCCTAACTCCTGCATACTGTGTGAGGAGACTAAACAATCTACAGTACTTCAACATCAGAACTGCAGCAAGTTGAAAAAGGAAAATTAGTACCAAATGAGAAGAAACCTCAGGGTGAGGACACTGACTCTACAGAAACTGTAAATCAGATACTTTATCCTTTAGGTCACTGAGGCTTTCTCAACTCAGAAGCTTGTGTTTCATTTCATTAAGAAATATTTGATTAGTCAAATGGTAGCACTGAATGTTTTCTTGCCTAACACGGTAATGATTCCTTTACATTCTGTTGAAAGGGAAGGTCTAGGGTAATTCCAAGCATGATTTGTCTTCTATTCAATAGCTTAAAAATGTAGCTAATAATAATTATGTTAAATTGGATGTTGTAAAGATCTAAGGAGATTATGCATAGAAATGCATTCTGTCGAGAACACTCAAGGCATGAAACTTAATTACTGGGAGACCATGCTCCATGTTCTCTGGCTCTGGGAATCTCCCAGAACAGCATTTAAAGAGATAACATCATCTCTAGACAATGCTGTCCAATTAAAAGATAATACAAGTCTTCTACTTTATCTTCCGGAATAAAAATAATTAAAAAAACACAAGTCATAAATGCGAGTCACTTTTGTAGTTCTAAATTTTCTAGTAGTCACATTAAAAAAAACAGGCAATATTTATTCTATATCTTTTTTTTTTTTTTTTTTTTTTTTTTTTGTAGATGGAGTTTCGCTCTTGTTGCCCAGGCTGGAGTGCAATGGCGCGATCTCGGCTCACCGCAACCTCTGCCTCCAGGGTTCAAGCGATTCTCCTGCCGCCTCAGCTTCCCGAGTAGCTGGGATTACAGGCACGCGCCACCACCCCAGCTAATTTTTTTTTTGTGTGTGTGACGGAGTCTCGCTCTGTCGCCCAGGCTGGAGTGCAGTGGCGCGCGCTGCAAGCTCCGCCTCCCGGGTTCACGCCATTCTCCTGCCTCAGCCTCCCGAGTAGCTGGGACTACAGGCGCCTGCCACCACGCCTGGCTAATTTTTTGTATTTTTTAGTAGAATTGGGGTTTCACCGTGTTAACCAGGATGGTCTCGATCTCCTGACCCCGTGATACGCCCGCCTCGGCCTCCCAAAGTGCTGGGATTACATGCGTGAGACCCCGCGCCCGGCCCCAATTTTGTACTTTTAGTAGATACGAGGTTTCTCCATGTTGGTCAGGCTGGTCTTGAACTCCCGATCTCAGGTGATCCGCCCACCTCGGTCTCCCAAAGTGCTGGTATTACAGGCGTGAGCCACCGAGCCCGGTCTCTATATTATTTTAAAAATAATTTCAACTTTTATGTTAGATTCAGGGGGTACATGTGCAGGATTCTTACATGGGTATATTGCATGATGCTGGGGTTGGGGTGGGATTAATCCTGTCACCCGGGTAGTGAGCATAGTATCCAATAGTTAGCTTTTCAAGCCTTTCCCCTTCCCAGCTACTCCCTAGTAGTCCCCGATGTTTACTGTTTCCGTCTTTTATGTCCAGTTTTAATAATATACGTAAATGGCCTTGTATAACAACATTATTTTAAGTAATCCATCTTAAAATTATAAGTGAGTTATTTTATATTAAAAATGATATTGCATCTTTGAAATCTGGTATATATTTTATACTTACAACACATCTTACCTTGGACTGGGCAATTTCAAGCATTCAATAGCCAATGTGGCTAATGGTAACCATATTGGAAAGTGCAGATTTAAACAGGTACTTTATATATTTTTAGGTTTTCAGAACTGAGTATGTATGACGTGAGGGTGTTCTGTCTTCAAAATTAAATGTTTAATTCCTCAGAAGAATGCTGTGATAAATAAGCTCATCCTACACATTATACGCAAAAAAAAAAGTGTTTCAATCATGTTGTTGGTAGATAGCCTGAAGATAGATATGGATATTTAATTATTTTAAATTCCCCCCTTTCATGTGGCAAACAAAAAAGCATATCTTCTTATTATGAATTCCCAAGAATCTGATAGACAGCCAGGTTTCTCTGGCTGTGACATGACATAAGGATGAAGGAGTGTTTCTGCAAACTGTCCTAATATTGCTTTTACAGCATCAAAGAGTCAAGATAATCCTCCCAAGCATTTACATGCACACACAAACAGACACAGACAGGCAGACACGCACACACATGAATACATATGAATTTTGTGTGTAACGCTTCTCTAGTCTCTCATTCAGTGAAACCTATTACTCAGTTTCCTATTTTTATTCTAGAAATCCCGTCAGCCAACTGAAAAGCCAAGTCTGCCATACAACTTGCAATCTGCCAATTTTAAAATGGATCAATGTTATTTTATTAACATTGGCAAAGGCTCATATATGGGCAAACCAGAATGAGAAAGAGTTAATCGTCACCAGAAATTTGGTTCCGAGAAATGGGTTTTCTTCTCATCTTCTTATATAGTTCAAAGAATCCAGTCTCACCGTGATAAGTCCCAAGATTCGAGAACTAGTTAGAAGAAAACTTGTTTGTTGCCTACAAATATCACGAATAGGTTTGTAATTTCCATATCTCAAAGTACACTTTTTAGTCTTTATCCACCTCCATGTAATGTGTCTACTACTACTAATGCTTACAAACCCCAGGCTGGAGACGGAGTTAATTGCCTGAGTTCTCTGTGTAATATCCTCACAGGCGTGCCCCACAGATATTTTAAATTTAGCATGAGCCAAACTAACTCATCTTCTCCATCTTTCAATCTTTCTCCCATTCCTGAAAGAGTTGTTAAAACCTCCCCTTTTCTGTGCCTGCTTGTCTTTGGCAATAGCATGTTTGTTTTTCTGAACTACTCTTCAATCCTGTTTCTATTTATCTTTCGTCTTACTCTCATAATTCAACCCTCATCTCCACCCCCAAAGCTGGTTTTCATTTATGCCTTATGAATTCCCTCCCCTCACCTCCCGTCTTCTTCTCTCTCTCTCTCCTTTCCTTTCTTCCCTTCCTCCCTCTTTCTCCTTCCTTCCTTCCTTTCTCCCTTCCTTCCCCCCTTCCTTCCCTCTTTCCCTCCCTCCGTCCCTCACTCCCACTTTCTCTTGCTTGCTTGCTTGCTTGCTTTTCTCACTCCATTGTCCGGGCTCGAGGGTAGTGGTGCAATCATAGCTCCCTACAATCGCTAACTCCCAAGTTCAAGCGATCCTCGTGCCTCAGCCTCTGGAGTTGTGAGTACAGGAGTAAGACACCACGCCAGCTAAGGACCCCTGTGAAAAAATGTTGAGTGCACCGCTCTCAGGTTTTCTTCTGATCATGGCTTTCCTCTATCAAATCTTACCTTTGATATTCCGACTGAGCAAACAACAATTATGAAGCGTTTTAGGCAGGAAAAGGCTGAATTTCAATGGCTTTGTGTTATATCTGGAAGAAATCAAAAGAAACGAAAATCAGAACTTGATTCTTGCCAAGCATAATAGAAGCAGACCCTAAGAACTCAACGTCTTCAGGCCACAAAGGAAACTTCTTGTGGTTATTATCTGACACTTTTCTAATCTTTCGTTTTTCGTTTCAAGTCCTACACAGTATTCTAAAGAATCTGTATCCCCCATTAGTACCAAGTATCTCCTGCTCAGAGTAGCTCTCCACGCTCTATGGTACTGACCACTATTACCAGCATGCTCACGGAGTCTCAGAAAATGAAAGTTACCTCCTGAAAATTATTACAAATGGGTGTTATAGTAAGGGGGTGTAGCTCAGTGGTAGAGCGCATGCTTTGCATGTATGAGGCCTCGGTTCGATCCCCGACACCTCCAAGTGATGGTTTCCCTCTGGCAGTTCTCAAGCGACAGACCTCTGCCTCCTCACATTTTTCTATTCTATTTCTGCACATATAGTAAGTAAAAATGTACTCCAATGCATTGCCTTGAACTATCTCCAACCTCTATGCTGTGAGCCTCAACATCACATAAGGCGATTGCGACAGCAGAAGGAAGACAAAAAAGTAACGAGGGGGAAAGAACAGGATCGCAACAGTGGTCTCCTGACCCAAACAAAAGCATGAACATTCACAGGCGGCTTGCGTTCGCTCCCATTTTGTTTTGTTTTGTTTTGTTTTTGTTTGTTTGTTTTGTTTTTTGAGACGGAGTTTTGCTCTCGTTGCCCAGGCTAGAGTGCAGTCGCACCACCTCGGCTCACTGCAACCTCCGCCTTCCGGTTTCAAGAGATTCTCCTGCCTCAGCCTCCCAAGTAGCTGGGATTACAGGCGCCCGCCACCACGCCCAGCTAATTTTTTTGTATTTTTAGTAGAGACGGGGTTTCACCATGTTAGTCAGGCTGGTCTTGAACTGCCGACCTCGTGAGCCACCCGCCTCGGCCTCCCAAAGTGCTGGGATTACAGGCGTGAGCCACCGCGCCCGGCCTTCCATTTTGTACTATGATTAAAGAGACGCAAAGACCAAGAAGAGAGAAAAATGCCAGTGGGCATCTTTTTTTTTTTAAGTTATTTTTGTTTTCTGGGCCAAAGAACAGAGCGAAAGCATCTGTCCACTCATTTCTACACCAGTCTCTCCCTGTCAACCTACATAGGGACATAAGTGCGATCCAATACTGAGACAAGGACTGCTGTGGCTCTCTAGCCACTTGAGATAGGAGTGGCAGGACGCTGGACGGCCAAACGAAGACTGTCCGGGAATTAGAGGCCTTCAACATGCAAGAAGCAAAAACTAATACGGATCAACATTCCCTACTGATATTCCATAAGACTGATTCATATTCATATTCCTGCATTTCCTCAGTCACTGTAATATTGCCTGGGAACTTCTGGTAACAGCAAACAGAGGCCCATAAGAAAAAACCAGGGAAAGGTTTTCTGTCACAATGGAAAATACATGCAGAGTAAAAGGTAAGTAGATCGCAATTGTGTGGGCGCTTTCTGCCTTGGAAAAAACCAAACAAACATTTCATGTTCTTTCTCGATCCATCTGATTACAACTGCTTTTTTTGAAAAGGGAACTCCCAAGAAATTCTATGCACTCATGGTACCTGTTAAAGGTTTCCAATGGTATACAGTTTCAAAACTGCTGTTCTCTCTGTACATATTTATTTATTTATTGTTGAATTAAAGTGTCTTTGAGAGACAAGAAACTACAATGTTTATTCCCAGTCCACCAGCCTAACACTCTATCAGGCTGGCATGTCTTTACTTCTTGATTCTTTTGTCCAGTGAAAGTATC
Organism: Homo sapiens; assembly: GCF_000001405.40. Classification (NCBI taxonomy): domain Eukaryota; kingdom Metazoa; phylum Chordata; class Mammalia; order Primates; family Hominidae; genus Homo; species Homo sapiens. The sequence continues at coordinate 66,986 of NT_167245.2, read as the reverse complement.
TATAACTAGCATCCAGGAGGGATACGGTCTAGTGAAACCTGCTTAGCTGAGGACTGGCTGTGTGTGTGCCCCCAGGCCAATCACATGTTTGTTTTGAGATACATTTTTTGGAGGAAGGTAATACCCACGTGTCATGTATTTTCTTTGTGTTTCATACTTTTTCTTTTTTAATTTCCTGGCATCTATTGGTTCTCTCCAGGCAAACAGCGGCATGTCAGCCACAGCGGACACTGCACAGGAGAGCAAGGGGTGGGGAATTAGGGTGCTGCAAGCAGAATGCTAAATTCCAGGCCTAACCTCAGATCTATTGAATCAGAACTGCTGAGCATGGGGCTCAGCCTCTTGTGTTTGAATAAGCCCTCAAGTGACTCTGATGCTAAAGTTTGAGAAGCACTGTTCTAGAAGTTTAAGAAGGAGGTCCCAGGATCAGGTGGCTGCTGAGGGGGAAGATTTTTTCCTGGGGTTCCTTGCCTATTCTCAATCAAAAACTTAAACCACGTAGGACAGCCAGTGGGGTTTGTAGTTGCATTATGTCAGGGGTGGGGTTGGATTTACCATTTCTTTTTTGTTTGTTTTTGTTTTGTTTTGTTCTGTTTTTGTGAGAGGGAGTCTTGCTCTGTCACCCAGGCTGAAGTGCAGTGGTGCAATCTTGGCTCACTGCAACCTCCGCCTATTGAGTTCAAGCGATTCTCCTGCCTCAGTCTCCTGAGTAGCTGGGATCACAGGCGCCTGCCACCATGCCCAGCTAATTTTTGTTTTTTAGTAGAGACGGGGTTTTGACATATTGGTCAGGCTGGTCTCAAACTCCTGACCTCAAGTGATCTACCCACCTCGGCCTCCCAAAGTGCTGGGATTACAGGCGTGGGCCACCATTCCCAGCCTCCTTCATCCTTTTGATGTCAGCTGAGTCTACAGTGATGTCCTCTTTTTATTCCTGATGTTGGTAAACTGTGTCATCTCTCTGCTGAAAATTTCTATCTTGCTAGAGTTCTTCTTTTATTGATCCTTGAAAGGAACTAGCTTTTTGTTTGTTTTTCTATTTTTGTGTGTGTGTGTGTGCGTGTGTTCCATTTCACTGATTTCTGCTTTTATTTTTTATTATTTCCTTTCTTCTATTTGCTTTGGGTTATTTTGCTCTTTTTCCCACCTGATTTCTACAAGTAAGAGCTTAGAGGACTGATTTGGGACTTTTTTCTTTTCTAATGTATGCACTTAGTGCTGTATATTTCTCTCTCAGCACTCCTTTAGGATATCTTGGAATTTTTAATATATTGTATTTTCATTTTTATTCATGCTACCTTATTTTTTGATATCTACTAAGGTTTTCTCTTTGTTGTATGAACTGTTTAGTAGTGTGTTGTTCATTTTCCAAGCGTTTGGACATTTTTCTGTCTTTTTGTGACTGATTTTTACTTTAATTTCATTTTGGTCAGGGATTATACCATATTAGTTAATTCTTTTAAATTTGTTGAGGTTTGTTTTATGGCCCAGGATATGTTTTACCTTTACCTATATTCAGTGTGGATTTGACTAGTGTGTTCTGCTCTTCCTGTGTGGACTGTTTTATAAATGTTAACTGAATTCTGGTGGCTGAAGATGTTTGAGTTCTTCAACACTCTTTTTTTTTTTTGAAGCAGAGTCTTGCTCTGTTGCCCAGGCTGGAGTGCAGTGGCGCGATCTCGGCTCACTGCAAGCTCAGCCTCCCGGGTTCACGCCATTCTCCTGCCTCAGCCTCCAGAGTAGCTGGGACTACAGGCACCCGCCACCACGCCCGGCTAATTTTTTTGTATTTTTTAGTAGAGATGGGGTTTCACCGTGTTAGCCAGGGTGGTCTTGATCTCCTGACCTCATGATTCGCCCGCCTCGGCCTCCCAAAGTGCTGGGATTACAGGTGTGAGCCACCACGCCCGGCCTAGTTCTTCAACATTCTTGCTGATTTTCTGTTTAGTTGTTCTATCAATCATTATGAGAGAAGTTTTGAAGTCTCCAAAGTAATTGTGGATTTGTCTATTTTTTTTTAAAGTTCTGTTTTTTTATCTTTACATATGTTGCAGCTCTCCTGTTTGGTGGATACATATTTAGGATTGTTATGTCTTCTATTTCTTTCCCTGCCTCCCTCTCTTCTTTCTTTTTCTTCTTTATTTAACCAAGAAAGAACAAATTTACTATTACTTTCCCTACCAAAGCAGTCTCTCATCACCTCCTGACTCTGAGAATTAAATTCTGTTTCCTTCAGATGTCCTTAGTTGATTGACTCCCAAACAGGGAGTGTGAACAGGAAAATAGAATAAAACACCTGTTAGATTTGAATACAAATTGAGAAATTTGTATCTTTGTTTCTGCCTGGAAACATTTAAAATGGAATGGGAACCACATGAGAAGCACATATTGTCCACATCTTGGGATCATTTCAGACCATCTTGCCTCTTCAACCAAACAATCAGCAACAATGGAATATATATATATATATACTCCATATATATATATATATACTCCATATATATATATATACTCCATATATATATACATATATACTCCATATATATATATACTCCATATATATATACATATATACTCCATATATATATATACTCCATATATATATATATACTCCATATATATATATATACTCCATATATATATATATACTCCATATATATATATATACTCCATATATATATATATACTCCATATATATATATACTCCATATATATATATACTCCATATATATATATACTCCATATATATATATATATATATATACTCCATATATATATATATATATATATATATATACACTCCATATATATATATGGAGAGAGACACAGAGAGAGATCTCAAAGATTATTTCTCTAAACTATTTGATGATTTTCAGACATTATATCTTTTTAATCCCTAAATTCATCAATGTGTATTTCTTAAAACAAGATCAGTTCCTTAACACAGCACAATTATCAAATTCAGTAAACTTAACATTGATAAAATAGCATTATCTAATATACAATCTATAAAAATTTAACTAATTGTATCAATACAATCTTTTATAGAAATTTCTCTCCCAAGCTAGGATCCATTTCACAGACACATATGAATCTAATTGTCTTGACTCTTTAGTCTCCTTTAATTTAGAACAGTTGCTCAATTGTGTCTTTCACAACTTTGATAATGTTTTTGAAGAGTATATGCCAGTGGTTTGTGGAATATTTCTTAATTTGTCCTACTCATGGTAAGATTAAGTTTATGGAAATTGGAAGAAATGTCACAAAAAATCATATTATCCTCTATCACACCAAGAAGCATGTGATGCCAATTTTCCCCATTATTAGTGAAGTTAGCTTTCATCATTTGGTTAAGTTTGTAACTACTATTTCTTCCCTGCAAAAGTATCATCTTCCTCATTGTAATCAATAAGTAAGCTCTAGAGAAATACTCTGAGACTATATAAATATCCTGATCCTCATCAAAATTTTACCTATACTTTTAGCATTGACTTATAATTTTGCCTGCACCTATCAGCATTCTGATGGTGTCCAGATTTTCTAATTTTCTAATGGGGATTTGCAAATTTTATCCTTCTTTCCACATTTATTAGCTGGCATACCACTGTAAAGAAAATCTTCCCATCTTCCATATTTATTTATTTATTTGAGACAGAGTCTCGCTTTGTCGCCCAGGCTGTAGTGCAGTGGCATGAGTCCTGGAGTCAGTGTAGTTGACACTAGTAGCTACTTTCTATTAGTATCTCTGGTGCCTTTTAGTAGGGAATGGTATTTGTGAATCAAAATATTGTTATCTTTGCTTATTGTTTCTGAGGTATTTCTTCCAGGCCCAGTTAGCAGACAGATCTGCAGGGAAATTTTACTTTTTTTTTTTTTTGAGACAAAGTCTAAGTCACCCAGGCCAGAGTGCGGTGGCAGGATCTTGGCTCACTGCAACGTCTGCCTCCTGAGTTCAAGCGATTCTCCTGCCTCAGACTTCCGAGTAGCTGGGACTACAGGCACGCACAACCACATCCGGCTAATTTTTGTATTTTTAGTAGAGACGGGGGTTTCACCATGTTGGCCAGGCTGTTCTCGAACTCCTGACCTCAAGTGAGCTGCCCGTCTTGGCCTGCCAAAGTGTTGAGATTACAAACGTGAGCCACTGCGCCCAGCCTATAAAATTACATATGTATAATTTCATACTGACGCCTCCAATTCTCATCAACACCAACAGGACTATTCTTTACCTTCTTTCTCTTACAGTGACAGCCTGGTTCCAACACACCCGGTCACACACACTCATTTTCCCAATCCTAAAATTCACACAAAATCTCAGAATTCTTACAGCCCTAGCTCTACAAAAATAACCCTGATACAGAGTTCAAGATTTGTTTGCAATTCTTTTTAATCTTACAATTAGAACAACAAACTGTATAAACCATTTTCATAGATCAGTTCTTTCCTTTTCAAGTAGGAGTATGTTATTGTTTCACAATGCAATTTTACACTTGATCTTAGCCAAAAGGCCGAGAAGCGATAGACAACGCCATTTGAATTTGCCTCTATTCGTATTGAATTTTAAGGTATTTTCACACGCACTTGAGTCAGTTTTATTTTTTGACTATGTGAAACACCAACATGCTTCCAAGAGTCAAAAGAATACAGAAAGTTATAATCAGAAAATTTGCAAGAGAATGTTGTATACCGGGACACACTCAAATGATAGAATGCAAGTATGCTCCAGGAAGTCTAACGTGATGGAGAGTCCACCTTGGGGTGAGTTGATCTTGGGTTGACCACAAATCAGGAACAGTGCCTTTATTTTTACCACTAAGCTACTTTCCTTTCTTTTCTCTTTCTTTCTTTCTCTTTATTTCTCTCTTTCTTTCTTTGTTTCTGTCTCTCTCTCTCTCTCTCTCTCTCTCTTTCTTCTTTCTTTCTTTTTTTGAGACGGAGTCTCGCTCTGTCGCTCAAGCTGGAGTGCAGTGGCCCGATCTCGGCTCACTGCAACCTCTGCCTCCCGGGTTCAAGCAATTCTCTACTTCAGAGTAGCTGGGATTACAGGCGCCTGTCACCACGCCCGGCTAATTTTTCTATTTTTAGTAGAGACAGGGTTTCACTATCTTGCCCAGGCTGGTCTTGAACTCCTGACCTCGTGATCCACCCGCCTCAGCCTCCCAAAGTGCTGGGATTACAGGCATAAGCCACTGCACCCGGCTAAGCTACTCTTCTTTTGGCCCAGCCGTGCCTAAAAGAGGAAGCGCTTCATGTAGGGAATTAACAATGGAATTGGAAACATATAGTGATTATCCTGACACAGAGGGCAGGCTCACATATTGGCCGTCACCAAAGCGTTTTCCGAAGGCCCTGAGTCCAGAGGGGGTATAGCTCAGTGGTAGAGCGCGTGCTTAGCATGCACGAGGTCCTGGGTTCGATCCCCAGTACCTCCAGGCCGTGTTTTCTTCCCCGGGACACCAGTAAGAAGCGGTCCATGATATTCCCCAACTTTAAATTTTTCTGTCTGTCAAGGTGAATTGTGTTGGCCTCTGCATTTCTCTCTCATACAGAGGGTGATGCGTGTTCATTCACTTGAGGTTATTTGCTGCCTAGGATTATCCGCCTATTCTTTCTAAGCAGTCCCATCAATCATTAACATGGACCACGCACGGGGGAAGCAAGTAGTATTCCTGGCCATCCAGCCAATTTCTAGCTGTAAATGAAATCATCAGAAACCATAGACCTGTGTGGCCCAAGTCTGATTTCAGATCAGAAGCTAAAAGGCTCAAGTCTTTTTCTGTTTCTTTTTCTAACTCCTCCTAACCAGGTTGCAGAAGCCCTACAAGCTTTCACTAAAAGATTACACTGCCAGGGGTTGATGGTTTGATGTGTGGTGGTAACCTTTTCCATTGGAGACCCACAAACTCTGAAACTTAAACTACTTAACTACAAACACACAACAAATGACGAAAAGACAGCATTCACCTCAGCTGAAATTTGGTGGAAGTAAAAAGCACTTCTCTGGGTCCTCTGAGGAAGCTTCTGGTCTGAGATGCAAACACTCTGAACTCCAGGGACCAAGATCAGTATAGGAGAAAGCTCATTTTGCTGTTTTACATAAATAAAAGTAATGAACGTTTATTTTTCCAATCCCAAAGGATCCTTTTGTACCTCACAGTACTTACTCTCCAGGATTGACCTCCTTCTAAGCTAGGGAACAACCCATACCTCCAGATTAGAGCTCTTTGTGGTATCACAGTGCCAAGCAGAAATCCACAGAGAAATACTCTGCAAGCATCTTAATACTATCTTGTTAAAAGAAAATCTGCTTTTATTTTCAGCTCTATTTCATGCCAACAAAGGAAATAAAAAATAAGTTACTAAACATCCAGAAGGCAGAAAAGCGACCTCTCTCCATCTGCAGAAGCCAAGCAAACTTGTGGGCTTCCCTATGCATCCTTTCTTTTACTCACTTTCTAAACGCTGTAACGGCCACTATCTATCAGGTGGTCACAAGCCATCGCTAAAGTCAATCTGAGGTCAACCCACTCGACTTGTGAGGGATTCAGCTATACTGCCTCTGCGCCTCTAATAGGACTAAGGAGGCGGTGGTTGCACAAGTAGTTAACACCGATTGTACCGTGACTCCGCCTTTCCGCAGCCGCTCTCCAGCTCTTTAGAGTCCTTTTGAGTCAAGCTGGACGTGAGACATACAGGAGATCGTTGCAAACGCCAGGAGGAGTTTCTTCAGGGTGAAGTTAACTTTCAATCGGCTTCATTCTAAGAGAAATATGTGGAGCAAACAAACGGAAACTTTCTTTCTCATCTTTTGCATTTCAAGCAAAAACTAATAAAATTAGATGTTTCCACCGTCATGCTCAGTTTCGAAGCTGCCAGCAGATCCCGCTTCTAACTTTTAACACAGGCACGCAGGAAATCGGGAAATCCCTGCAGCTCCCTCAGAAGCTACAGTATCAGCGGTTCCTGAAGGGCAAACCAAAACCCAGTATCACTCTCTCCTCCAAAGAGTTCAGCCGGTCTGCTGAGCGACGGAAATAGCGGAGAGGCGCTCTTGAAGCCGAAACGAACCAGGTCCCCTTCCTGGTCGAGTCTTCCTCCCTAAGGACAAAAAAAGTACCTTTCTTCCCTCATATCCAGAGGAAGCGACGGAGGGATGTGGCGCTTAGACTCACTGTACCATCCCGTCCATCCAAGTCCTAATAATCATGAGGATGCGACAGAGCGAGACTCCGTCTCAACAAAACAAAACAAAACAACCCTAAGGAAGAGAGAGAATGTACTGGAGGATAGGAAGTACTTAGGAAAACCTTTTTTTTTCTTGTATTTAAATTTAAGCCTTCATTTATATAAAATAAAACACATGAAACCTATTCAGCTTACGGCTTATTATATATAACCAAAATTCAGGCCAAGATACTGAATTTTTCAGCAACCAACAGCTGCCTTTTGCCTCATTTCAATTATCCTAACTCTCTGACCTCCACCTCCATAGATTATTTTTCTTATGTTTTAAATAATATAAATGGGATCATATAATATCATCGTAGTCTATTTTGGGCTGCTACAAAATCACTCAAGACTGGTAATTTGTAACGAACAGAACCCTTCCCTTCCCTTCCCTTCCCTTCCCTTCACTTCCTGACAGAGTTTCACTCTTGTTGCCCAGGTTGGAGTGCAGTGGCTCAGTCTTGGCTCACTGCAACCTCTGCCTCCCGGATTCAAGCAATTCTCCTGTCTCAGCTTCCTGGGTAGCTGGGATTACAGGCGAATGCTACCACGCCCAGCTAATTTTTCTGTATTTTTAGTAGAGATGGGGTTTCACCATGTTTGCCAGGCTGGTCTCGAACTCCTGACCTCAGGTGATCCATCCACCTTGGCCTCCCAAAACCCTGGGATTACAGGAGACAGCCACTGCACCAGGCCCAGAAACATTTTCTCACAGTTCTGGAGGCTGGGAAGTTCAAGATCAAGTCACTGGCTCTCATGTCTGGTGATGGCCTTTTTGTTGTGTTCTCACATGGCAGAAAACTGAAGGCAATAGAGAGATGAACTTCCTTTGTCAACTCTTATTATAAGGGTACCTAATATTATTCATGAGGAAGGAACCCTCATGGCTTAATCTTCTTAAAGGCCCTATGTCTTGATAATTATCACATGGTGACACCTAAGCTTTGGAGGGGACACTTTCAAACCACAGCAAATCTGTACTCATTTGAGTATGGATTCTTTCACTTAATTTTTGTTAAAAAAATTAGATTCATTTTCTTTTCTTTTTTCTTCTTTTTTTTTTTTTCAAGGTGGAGACTTGCTCTGTCGCCCAGGCTGGAGTGCAGTGGCGCGATCTTGGCTTACTGCAAGCTCTGCCTACCAGGTTCACGCCATTCTCCTGCCTCAGCCTCCCGAGTAGCTGGGACTACAGGTGCCATCCACCACGCCCAGCTAATTTTTTGTATTTTTAGTAGAGACAGGGTTTCACTGTTTTAGCCAGGATGGTCTCGATCTCCTGACTTCGTGATCTGCCCGCCTCAGCTTTCCAAAGTGCTGGGATTACAGGCGTGAGCCTCCGTGCCCAGCCTTCATTTTCTATATATTGTTGCTAGTAACAGTAGTTATTTTCTGTTGCTCTCGAGTATTCTATTGTCTGAATACTGTACATCATGATTTATTAATTCATTTTACTGTCCAAGTACATTTGCAGCACCCCTCGTTTTTGGTTGAAATGTCTAATGCTGCTGTAAACATTCTGATACATGTCCTTCAAGGGAGATGCTCATGCACTTCTCTTGGGTATAAATGTAACCGTCTAGTTTTGGGGTCATAGCATATATATATATATATATATATATATATATATATATATATATATATTTAGTTGATATTTTCAGATAGTTTCCCAGTGTAGATATAGCAGTTTACAGTCTCATCAGCCATGTATGCACGTTCCAATTGCTTCACATACTCAGCAACACTTGATATTATCCACTTTTTGGGTTAAATGATTCCAATGAAGAGCAATATTATTTTGTGTTTTTTTTTTCGACAGTGTCTTGCTGTGCTGCCCAGGCTGGAGTGCAGCGGCACAATCTTGGCTCACTGTAGCCTTTGCCTCCCAGGATCAAGAGATTCTCATGCCTCAGCCTCCTGAGTAGTTGGGACTACAGGGGCATGTGGCCGTCTAAATTTTTGTATTTGTAGTAGAGACCGGGTTTCGCCATGTTGGCCAGCTGGTCTTGAACTCCTAACCTCAAGTGATCCACCCGCCTCGACCTCCCAAACTGCTGGGAGTATAGGCGTGAGCCACTGTGTCCAGCATTGTTGTGTTTTTAATTTGCATTTCCTTTATAGCAAAAGATGTCGAGCATATTTTATTTTACTCAATAGCGATTTTTTGTGAAGTTCATATTAATTTGCTCTTTCTTATTGAAGTTTTAGTCTTTTTCTTAGTGCTTTGTAGAAGTTCTTAACATATTCCAGATAAAGATCCTTAGTAAAATATAAGTATTGGAATATCTTCTCCTAGACTGTGGCTCATCATCTTTTCTTAAGGAGGATGGGGCTTGAAAAACTTTGTAAGCAGATGAAAGAGAAGAAATGGAGACAGACAGGTTGAAGACCCCAGAGGAAGTTCCATCTGGACATCTTACCTGTTGGCTGTGGGAGAAAATGCCCCCAGGCAGTTTGCTGGAGAGGAAACCTCAGAATAAACTGATGGGATGAAATGTTCCAAAAGCAGAAACTGTGTTCTGGTCTGTGATTCTCTTACATTTCTCCTAGCAGCTTCAGGGGATATAGTTTAGAGGTAAGAAATAGTGAGATATGAGACAGTGGATTTTCTATCCGGCCAACTTACCATATTTTTGAAGACCTCTCAGAAATATGACTAATGCGTCAAAAAAGATCTTCACGATGTTTCTGTAGCGAGAGAGGTGTGGCTCAGTGGTAGTGTGTCCTTGCCTTGCACAGAGTTCAAAAGCATACATGTTCATCTGTTTTTCACAATTCTCGCCACTCTGTACTTTTCTCCTTTTAAAAACATGCCTTGCGTGGTCACACTAAAATAAACATATTATACTTTCCATTTCCACTCCCTGGGTCTCTGTACCACCCAAGGTGGATGTGTCAGCACAAGACGAGTGAAAGGAAGGGAATAGCGAAAATGAATTTTCTCGCTCAGGATTTCCTTAGTCAGAAGCTATAAACCTGCCACCACATTAACGTGCCCAATAATCCTCTGTTCCTTTTTGCCATATCGTTGAAGAGCAAGACAGAAAAACAAGAGCCCAGAGAAAAGGAAAAGCCTAGAAAATTTTCTTTTGAATTCCCTTGGTATTCTGAGCAGTGACCATGTAGGGGAGCATGTTCTTACTTTGCTCTATTCTTCATTTTTGCCTTTTCTTTCCCTGGCTTTTGCTAACCCATTCATTGTCCTTAAAATTGGGTCCTGTTTTCAGACATAAATTGGGGAAGAATCTATATTTTGGGGGTGAAGGGGTGAGTGAATGACAGGTGATATTGAAGACAACAGAATTGGAAGATATACTGACCCTACAAATGAGTTTTTATATTTTGAAGAAACACCTAAAACAACAAATTCGGGAAGCCGAAATAGCTCAGTTGGGAGAGCGTTAGACTGAAGATCTAAAGGTCCCTGGTTCGATCCCGGGTTTCGGCAGGGTTTTTTTTTTTTCTTTCTTTCTTTCAGTTTTGCCTAATAGAACCCTTATTTTGTTTATTTATTTATTTTTTGACGGAGTTTCACTCTTGTTGCCCAGGCTGAGTGCAATGGAGCGAACTCGGCTCACCGCAACCTCCGCCTCCTGAGTTCAAGCGATTCTCCTGCCTCAGCCTCCCGAGTAGCTGGGATTACAGGCATGCGCCACCACGCCTGGCTAATTTTGTATTTTTAGTAGAGACGGAGTTTCTCCATGTTGGTCAGGCTGGTCTCGAACTCCCGACCTCAGGTGATCGGCCCGCCTCGGCCTCCCAAAGTGCTGGGATTACAGGCGTAAGACACAGCGCTCGGCTGATACAACCCTTATACAACACTTGCATGCCAATCCCAGAAAGGTGTATAGAACTCCAATTTTTTGCTGTTGAAAATCCGATAAAGGTAATACACACACACACACACACACACACACACACGCATATATATATATATGCATCACTCTCTGCTTTGGTTGCATATTCCAGTGAAGTCTTCCATGAAGCGCTGACATTAAATAAATTATTTACAGTCTGAAACCTAGGAAGTGATTTTTTTTTTTTTTGAGATTGAGTTTCGCTCCGATGCCCAGGCTGGAGTGCAGTGGCGCGATGTCGGCTCAGTGCAATCTCCGCCTCCCGGGTTCAAGGATTCTCCTGGCTCAGCCTCCCCAGTAGCTGGGATTACAGGCGCCTTCCATTTCAAGTCGTATACTGTATTCTAAATAATTTGTATCCCCCGTTAGTACCTAGTATCTTCTACTCACAGCAGCTGCAGACGCTCCACAATACTCAGAAAAAGAAAGTTACCTCCTGGAAATTATTACAAGAAGGATTTTTTTCAGGAAGGGGGTGTAGCTCAGTGGTAGAGCGCATGCTTTGCATGTATGAGGTCCCGGGTTCGATCCCCGGCACCTCCAAACGGTGACTTTTTGCTCTGGTAGTGCTCAAACCTAATTCTCAAGCAACATAGACTTACTTCTGCCTCCGCACCTTTTTCTGTCCTATTTCTGCACATATAGAGAGTAAAGACGTAACCCAATGGGTTGCCTCCATTTATAACCCATTTCTATGCCGTGAGCTTCGACATCACTGAAGGCGATTGTGACGGCAGAAGGAAGGTGAAAAAGAAATGAGGAAGAAAGAAGAATGGGATCCCAACAGGGTCTCTTGAACCCAAACAAAAGTGTGCACATCCACGGGAGGTTCACATTTGCTCTCATTTTGTGCTATGATTAAAGAGAAGGAAAGACAAAGAAGAAGGGAGAAAAGCGCCCCGCGGCCATTCTTTTTTTTTTTTTTTTTTTTTTTTTGGAGACAGAGTCTCGCTCTGTAGCCCAGGCTGGAGTGCAGTGGCTTAATCTTGGCTCATTACAACCGCTGCCTCCCGGGTTCAAGCGATTCTTCTGCCTCGGCAGGTGGGTTTACAGGTGCGTGCCATCAGGCCCGGGTAATTTTTGTATTTTTAGTAGAGACGGGGTTTCACCATGTTGGCCACACTGGTCTCGAACCCCAGACCTCAGGTGATCCACCCGCCACAGTTTCCCAAAGTGCTGGGATTACAGGCGTGAGCCACCGCTCCCAGCATCATCTTTTTTGTTTGTTTGTTTTTTGTTTTTTTTTACTTTAGTTTTGTTTTCTGGGCCAAAGAACAGAGCGAAAGCATCTGTCCACTGATTTCTCCTCCAGTCTCTCCCTGTCAACCTGCGCAGAAAGCACAGCCACAAGTGTAATCCAATACTGAGACAAGGACTGCTGTGGCTCTCCAGCCGCTTGAGATGGGAGTGGAAGGACGCTGGATGACCGAACAAAGACTGTCAGGGAATAAGAGACCTTCAACATGAGAGGAGCAGAAACCAATACGGATCAACATTCCCTACTGATACAATTGATTCATTTTCCTGTATTTCCTCAGCCATTCCATTTTCCTTGTTAAAATAAAACATTGCCTGGAAACCTCTGTTAACAGCCAACGGAGGACTCATGTGAAAAAGTAGGAAAAGTTTTTCTGTCACAATGGAAAATAGACGCAAAGTAAAAGGTGAGTGGATCGCAGGTGTGTTGAGCACTTCCTCAGGTAAAAACAAAAGAAAACAAATTTTTTTTGTTCTTTCTCTGTCAATCCCATCACAATTGCATTGCATGACCAGGGAACTCCCAGGAAATCCTATTCACTGATGATACCTTTTAGGGGTTTCCAATGTTGTATGTTTCAAAATTGCTGTCCTCTGTACATGTTTGCTGTTGAATCAAAGCATCTTTGAGAGGCAACAGAGTATGATGTTTGTCACCATCCACCAGTCTAACACTCTATCAGGCTGGGATGTCCTCACTTCTTGATTCTTTTATCCGGTGAAAATATCCATAACCAGTATCCAGGAGGGATACTGTCTGGTGAAACCTGCTTAGCTGAGGATTGGCTGTGTGCCCCCAGGCCAATCATATGTTTGTTTCAAGATGCATTTTTTGGAGACAGGTAACGAAGAGATGCCATATATTTTCTTTTCATTTCTTAATATTTCCCCCCTACTATCTACTGGTTCTCTCCAGGCACTTTAAGGAAATAGTGTCATGTTTGCCACAAAGGATGCTGCACAGGAGAGCAAGGCATGAGGGATTAGGGTGCTACTAGTGGAATGTCAAATTCCAGGCCCAACCTCAGATCTACAGAATCAGAATTGATGAGAGTGGGACCCAGCCACCTGTGTTGAATAAGCCCTCAAGTGACTCTGATGCTAAAGTTTGAGAAGCACTGCTCTAGAAGTTTCAGAAGGAGTTCAGGGCCAGATGCTTGCTAAGGAGAAAGAGTTGCTCCCGGGGTTCCCTGCCTATTTTCAATAAAAAACTCAAACCACGTAGGAAAGCCAGTGACGTATTTGCATTACATCAGGATGAGAGTGGATTTATTACCTCTTTGAGACCTTCAATATTTTAGATGACTAGAGATCACACACAAGAGCCTCTGATTTTCCTGTAGAAGAACTCACAGGGGTTCTTTAGAGCCAGGAGACTCTTTCCAGCCAAAATACCTGGAGCCATCTCAAGCTATTTTGGCCTTTCAATTTGAAACCTAAGGCCTTTCCTTAGAGCTTGGAAGTTTCTAAGCTCTGAGGAAGACACTGTAATCATTCTTGCTCCACCCTCAGGGTTGGAATTCACCCTGCTCTCTGTCAAGCCCCCACCAATTCTGCCAATATTCTGGTCTAAGATCCAGTTGTTAAAAACCCAGTCTATGTGGCTGGGGGCGGTGGCTCATGCTTGTAATCCCAGCACTTTGGGAGGCCAAGTCGGGTGAATCACGAGGTCAAGAGATCGAGACATTCCTGGCCAACATGGTGAAACCCGTCTCTACCAAAAATACAAAAATTAGCTGGGCATGGTGGCCGGGGAGGCTGAGGCAGGAGAATAAAAAATTAGCTGGGCATGATGGCCATGCCTGTAGTCCCAGCTACGGGGAGGCTGAGGCAGGAGAATCCCTTGAACCTGGGAAGCGGAGATTGCAGTGAGCCGAGATGGCACCACTGCACTCAAGCTTGGTGACACAACGAGACTCCATCAAAAACAAAAAACAAAAACAAACAAAAAAAGCAATCTAATGCATAAAATGTAATTAAAATATCTTCGCAGCATTAAGTAGAGAGTTCCTTGTGGTTAGGAGACTCTTCCTCCTTGGAAGATGTTCTCTGTCTGTCTACCTTCTGCGTTTTCACATTTGTCTCTTCCTCTCCACACCTAAGCCAGTGCTTTATTTCCACTTATCTCGTGTAGGGATATACTTTTGTGTGGTGACCTTGGTTTTGCCCACTCTTCTTGCTTCCAAGAGTTGGATGTAGGCAATGTAGGAGCCCACTGCCAAAGTGTGGGTGATATTCTCCAGAAAGAAACCTAAATTTCAGAGGCTTGCTGATATGGAAGAAAGCCTAGGATATTCGACTCATAGAGCTTCGCACTGCTAGGCAGGTTGAAATCTGGACACCCTGAATTCCTTAGGAACAAGGTATAAGTACTTCTGAAAACCAATTTAAGTTTAAAATATACTGAGACTCCCTGATCTTTCTTGTATTTCATGACATATTCCAAGCTCAAGAAGCTAAACACACACACACACACTCAAATACCAAAACAGAACACACTCTCCTACCTATAACAAAGGGGCTTAAGCAGGAGGGTCTAGAGAGACCTGGTTCAACACTCTCCCCCTGACGAACAGTAGGGATTGGAAATAGGCGGCTTCTCTGTCCTTTCCTCGGAAGCCACCAATACCACCCGCCTGTACCAAAACTCAAGGGTACCCCTGCTCCCCAGTACCCCAGCCAGTAAAGGAGCTGCGAGGCGTTCTCAACGCCGCGACTACCTTGAGTAAAACGAGGGAGATCTTGCGGGGAAAGTGTTTTCAGCTCACTTCTCCTACAGGGAATGAGCCCTCTCACCTATCGTGGACACCGAGGAAACGCAGCAGAGATGGGCACCCAGGCTGCCCAGATCCTCTGGCAGCCTCGGGTGCTCGTCCACTTCGCTCCTCCTCCGCCTTTGCTGCCGCAGCCGCAGGTGCGCACCCCACCGCGTCCCTGCTTCCCTCCTCGAGCTCTTGTGGTCGAGCTCAGGTGGTCCTTGTTCTCCTCTCCATCCATCGTTACTTGAGTCTCAAAACTGGAGCCACAACGTCCCCAAGATGAAATCCATGCTGGGTTTCAGCCACGGTGCCGGCCCAGGGGCTGGCGAGGGTAAGGACAGGCAGCGACCCACTTCCTGGGTCTTCATTTCTAAGAGCTGGGAATTCCACCTTCTCACCTCCTCACCTGGACCTAAATCCCCCAGGCGGTACTGACCATTCTGTTTTTTTATCCACCTACGCTACTCTTCGTGTGACAGCCCTTGAAGGCAGAAGGAAAAGAAGATGTAAGAAGGGAGAATTTAAAAAACACTTTAAAAATTAATTAATCTGAATACTCAAAGTATCCCCAGGTCATGTATCCTTTTAAGATATGCCTACATTGGCATAGGCGGTGGCTCATGCCTGCAATCCCAGCACTTTGAGAGGCCGGGGCAGGCGGATCACCTGAGGCCAGGAGTTGGAAACCAGCCTGGCCAACATGGTGAAACCCCATCTCTACTAAAAATACAAAAATTAGCCGGGCGTGCTGGCACGTGCCTGTAATCCTAGCTACCTGGGAGGCTGAGGCAGGAGAATCGCTTGAACCTGGAAGGTGGAGGTTGCAGTGAGCCCAGATTGCACTACTGCATTCCAGCCTGGGCAACACAGCAAGACTCCTTCTGGGGGAGGGGGTGGAGGGCGGGGGCGACGAATTATACAGTGAAACTTTCTTGAACCTGAAGAGTCTGTTTTTTTTTTAAAGTTTTTATATCACAAATTTAATTTCCTTAGTAGTTACAAGGTTATAGAAAAATATATTTCATATTGAGTGAGTTGTGATAGTTTGTGATTTTCAAGGAATTAGTCCATCTCATCTAAGTTTTCAAATTTGTGTGTAAAGTGTTGTTCATAGTATTCATTTACCCTTTTGATGTCAGCAGAGTCTATAGTGATATACTCTTCTTTTTATTCTTGATATTGGCAATTTGTGTCATCTCTCTTCTTAAAAAATTATCAGTCCTCCTAGAGGTCTTCTTTTATTGATCTTTTAAAGGAACTAGCTTTTTGTTTGTTTTTCTATTTTGTGCGTGTGTGTTCAGTTCCGTTTATTTCTGCTCATTTCCTTTCTTCTATTTGCTTTGGGTTATTTTCCCCCACCTGAGTTCTTCAAGTAAGAGCTTAAAGGACTGATTTGAGACTTTTTTCTTTTCTTTCTTTTTTTTTTTTTTTTTTTTTTTTTTTTTTTTTTTTTTTTGGCCGGGCTGGTCTCCAACTCCTGACCTTGTAATCCACGCGCCTCGGCCTCCCAAAGTGCTGGGATTACAGGCGTGAGCCACGCGCCTGGCCGACTTTTTTCTTTTCTAATGTATGCACTTAGTGCTGTAAATTTCTCTCTCAGAGATTAAGTTGTCTTGGAAATTTTGATACATTGTGTTTTCATTTTTATTCAGGTTAATTTATTTTTTTGATCTCTACTAAGGCTTTCTCTTTGTCCTATGGAATATTTAGTAGTGTGTTGTTCATTTTCCAAGTGTTTGGATATTTTTGTTGTCTTTCTGTGACTGATTTTTAGTTTGATTTCATTGTGGTTAGGGATCATACTATGTCAGTCAATTCTTTTAAATTTGTTGAGGCCCAAGGTATGAGGTATGTTCTATCTTGATCTACGTTACGTATGAATTTGAAATGAATGCGTGTTCTGCTTTTCTTGTGTGGACTGTTCTATACATGGTGACTGAATTCTGTTGCCTGAAGATGATTTGGGGTTCTTCAATATCCTTGCAGATTTTCTGTGTAGTTTTTCTGTTATTATGAGAGAAATGGCGCGGGCGTGGTGGCTCACGTCTGTAATCCCAGCATTTTGGGAGGCCGAGGCGGGTGGATCACCAGGTCAGGAGATGGACACCACCCTGCCTAACATGGTGAAACGCCGTCTCTACTAAAAATACAAAAAATTAGCCGGGCGTGGTGGCGGGCGCCTGTAGTCCCAGCTACGCAGAGGCTGAGGCAGGAGAATGGCGTGAACCCGGGAGGCGGAGCTTGCAGTGAGCCAAGATTGCGCTACTGCACTCCAGACTGGGCGACAGAGCGTGTGAGGAGACGATTGAAAAACCCAAAAAGAAGAAAAAGCAAAAGCCCCAGGAGATTCATCAGGAGAATGGAATGGAAGACCCATCTATCTCTTTCTCCAAACCCAAGAAAAAGAAATCTTTTTCCAAGGAGGAGTTGATGAGTAGCGATCTTGAAGAGACCGCTGGCAGCACCAGTCTTCCCAAGAGGAAGAAGTCTTCACCCAAGGAGGAAACAGTTAATGACACCGAAGAGTCAGGCCACAGAAGTGGCTCCAAGAAAACGAGGAAATTCTCCAAAGAGGAGCTGGTCAGCAGTGGGCCTGAAGAGGCGGCTGGCAAGAGCAGCTCCAAGAAGAAGAAAAAGTTCCATAAAGCATCCCAGGAAGATTAGAATGCAAATGGACATTCTCTGGGAGGTGGGGCATACCATAGCCCAAGGCGACATTTCCCACCCTGTGCCGTCTTCCCCAATAAGAACAAATTCACAAAAAAGAGAGAGAGAGAAGTGAAGTCTCTAATGTAACTGCATTTGTCGATTTTTTTAATTCTATCTTTTTTGTTTTTTAAAATATTTATTTATGTATTACATTTATTTATTTATTTATTTATGAGTCAGAGTCTCGCTCTGTCACCCAGGCTGGAGTGTAGTGGCACCATCTCGGCTCACTGCAACCTCCACCTCCCGGGTTCAAGCAATTCTCGAGCCTCAGCCTCCCTAGTAGCTGGGACTGCAGGTGCACGCCACTGCACCACCATGCCCGGCTAATGTATGTATTTTTAGTAGAGACGGGTTTCACCATGTTGGCCAGGCTACTTTCCAACTCCTGGCCTCAGGTGATCCGCCCACCTCGGCCTCCCAAAGTGCTGGGATTACAGGCGTGAGCCACTGCGCCCTGTCTGGGTGTTTTGTTTTGTTTTGTTTTGAGACAGAGCCTTACTTTGTTGCCCAGGCTGGAGTGCAGTGGCACGATCTTGGCTCACTGCAACCTCCGCCTCCCAGGTTCAAGCAATTCTCCTGCTTCAGCCTCCCGAGTAGCTGGGACTACAGGGCGCACGACCACGCCCAGCTTTTTTTTTTTTTTTTTTTTTTTTTTTTAGTAGAGATGGGGTTTCACCATGTTGGTCAGGATGGTCTCAATCTCCTGACTTTGTGATCCGCCCGCCTCGGCCTTCCAAAGTGCTGGGATTACAGTCGTGAGCCAGCGCGCCCGGTCCTGTTTTTTTTTTTTTTTTTTTTTTTTACATGTTGCAGCTCTGCTGTTTGGTGTATACATATTTAGGATTGTTATGCCTTCTTGGTGGATTTTCTTTGTTCTTAAGTTTATATTAATATAGTCACTTTTGCTTTCTTTTGATTAACTTTTGCATGTAATATATTTTATCCCCTTAATTTCAGCCTGCTTATATAATTATATTTGAAATGAGTTTCTTTTAGATAGTGTATAGTTGGATTATGTTTTCTAATCTGTTCTGTCAATCTCTCCCTCCCTCCATTCCTTTCTTCCTTTTGCCCTCTCTCCTTCCTTTCTTTCTCTCTCGCTCCTTCCTTCTTTCTTCCTTCCTTTCTTTTCTTTCTTCCTTTATTTTCTTTCTATTTTTAATAGACGGGATCTTGTTTTGATGACCAGACTAGAGTGCAGTGGCTATTCACCAGGGCAATCGTAGAGCACTGGGGCTTCCAACTCCTGACCTCAAGCTGTTTTCCTGCCTCCTCTTCAGCCTCCTGAGTAGGTGTAGCTGGGACTATAGATGCAGGCCACCACGCCTGGCTCATGGTTTGTTTTTGTTTTTTTGTTTTTTTTCTCATCCTTCTTTTAAAGTCGCTAAATAAAAATCATACCTGGATGTCTGGAAATGTCAGTTAACATCAAACATGTTGCTGCCATGAAGTGCCAGACAATTCTTTTTTAGTACCTAAAAAAGTGTCCCTCCTCTGAGAAGAGGACAAATAGTTCACAGATGTGTAAGACATTTTAACTGTAGTGAAACAGCAGCCATTTCCTCTGCTGTTTCCTGTCCGTCTAATCACTTCTGCTTTTACTTTCTTTCTTTTTTCTTTTTTTTTTTTTAAGACGTAGTCTCGCTCTCTCTCCCAGGCTGGAGTGCAGTGGCGCGATCTCAGCTCACTGCAAGCTCCGCCTCTCGGGTTCACGCCATTCTCTGCCTCAGCCTCCTCGAGCAGCTGGGACCACAGGCGCCCGCCACCACGCCAGGCTAATTTTTTGCATTTCTAGCAGAGACGGGGTTTCACTGTGTTAGCCAGGATGGTCTCGATCTCCTGACCTCGTGATCCGCCCGCCTCGGCCTCCCAAAGTGCTGGGACTACAGGCGTGAGCCACCGCGCCCGGCTATGCTTTTATTTTCAAGGCACTAATCAAAATTTCTGGCCTACTGATGGCCCTATTTAAAGGGTTTCCTGGGCTATGATAGTTTCAAACTCTATATTTCCTGAAGACTAATAAAGAGGGAAGGGAGTTCTGTTTGTCAACTTTACTGTTTCTTTTCCTCCTTCCCTTCCTTCCATTCTTTCTTTCTTTTTCTCCTGTCACTCTCTTTTTTTTTTGCTGCTTTTCTCCAAAAAAGAACTTCACTATTTCTTTCCCTACCAGAGCAGCCCCTCATTACCTCCTGACTCTGAGAAAGAAACTCTGTCTCTTTCAGATGTCCTTAGTTGATTGACTCACAAGCAAGGAGTGTGACAAGGAAAATAGAATAAAACACCTTCTAAATTCTAATACAAATTGAGAAATTTGTACCTTTGTCTCTGCCTTGCAACATTTAAAATAAAGTGGGACCATCTGAGAAGCATATATTGTTCAAATCTTGGGATAATTTCAAAACATCTTTTCCTCAATGACAAATCAACAATACTGGAATACATATCATATATATGTAGTATGTATTATATATATATATCAGACAAAGATTATTTCTCTAAACTATTTGATAATGATTTTCAGACATCATATCTTTTTATTCTTAAATACTTCAATGTGTATTTCTTAAGAAAAAGGTCAATTCCTTAACACAACACAATTATCAAGTTCAGTAAATTTGACATTGATAAATGTGAATATAGTCTAATATAAAGTCTATTAAAAATTGTCTAATTGTACCAATAAAAACTTTTATAGAAATTTCTCTTCCAAGCTAGGATCCATTTCAGAATCACATATGAATCTAGTTGTCTTGACTCTTTAGTGCCCTTTAATTTGGAACAGTTTCTTAATCTTCTTGTCTTTCACAACACCGACATGTTTTTGAAGAGTTTTTCCAGTGGTTTTGTGCAACGTTTCTTAATCTGTATTAGCCATGATAAGATTACATCGGGTTATGGAATTTGGGAGAAATGTCACAGAAATCACGTTATTACCCTCTCTCACACCAAGAGGCATGAGCTGACTGAAGTTAGCTTGATCACTTGATTTTAAGTTTGTAATTACTGTTTCTTCCCTGAAAAATTATCATTTTCCTCATTGTAATTAATAAATAATCTACAGGGAAATACTCTGAGACTACGTAAATATCCTGATCCTCATCAAATTTTTACCTATACTTTAACATTAACTTACAAATTTTGCCTGCATCTATCATCATTCTGATGGTATTGTTTAAATGGGGATTTTTAAATTTTATCCTCACTTTGTTTCTTTGTTCATTTTTTTGAGACGGAGTCTCGCTCTGTCGCCCAGGCTGGAGTGCAGTGGCGCAATCTTGGCTCACTGCAAGCTCCGCCTCCCGGGTTCACGCCATTCTCCTGCCTCAGCCTCCCGAGTAGCTGGGACTACAGGCACCCGCCACCACGCCCGGCCAAGGTTTTGTATTTTTAGTGGAGAGGGGGCTTCACCGTGTTAGCCAGGATAGTGTCGATCTCCTGACCTCGTGATCCACCCGCCTCAGCCTCCCAAAGTGCTGGGATTAAAGGCGTGAGCCACTGCGCCCGGCACTCACTTTCACATTTATCATTTGGCAAACCACTGTAAGGAAAATCGTCCCGTCCTCCATATTTATTTGTTTAAGTTCCCAAGAATGATAATCAGTTATTGTCATCACTGATGCTAAAAGTGTGTCAGATTTGGCCAGTGAGATTCCCTTCAAGCTGGCTTCTGTGTCCTTTTAAATCACCCCCGTCATTTCTGAGCACTTACATTCTGGCAAGGCAAGATATCTTAGGTTCATTTTGCAGTTTCCCTGGCACAGTCCTGGAGTCTGTGTAGTTGACACTAATAGCTACTTTCTATTAGTATCTCTGGTTCCTTTTAGTAGGGAATGGTATTTGAAAATCAAGATACAGAGTTATCTTTGCTCATTGCTTCTGAGGTATCATTTCTTCTAGGCCCAGTTAGCAGATAGATCTGTGGGGAAATTTTACAATTTCATATGTACAATTTCATACTGATGCCTCTAATTCCCATCAGTATCAACAGGACTATTCTTTACCTTCCTTCTTCTCCCACAGTGAGAGTCTGTTTCCAACAACAGACACTCGATTTCCCAATCCTAAAATTCACACAAAATATCAGAATTGCTACAGCCCTCACTCTACAAAAAATAATCCTGATACATAGAGTTTAAGATTTGTTCGATGTTCTTTTTGATCTCACAATTAGAACAACAATCTGTGTAAACCATTTTCTTATATCAGTTCTTTCCTCTTCAATGTGGTTATGTTATTCTTTTGAAATGCAGTTAATTTGCCTCTATTTGTACTGAATTTTAGGGTATTTTCACACATACCTGAGTTTTATTTTTTGACTATGGGAAACACTAAGATGCTTCCCAGAGTCAAAAGAAAAAAGTTATAATCAGAAAATTTGCAAGAGAATGTTGTATGCCGGAGGTCACTCAAGGGATAGAATGGAATTATGCTCCAGAAAGTCTAATATGATGG
This sequence comes from Homo sapiens, assembly GCF_000001405.40. NCBI lineage: Eukaryota > Metazoa > Chordata > Mammalia > Primates > Hominidae > Homo > Homo sapiens. The sequence goes on along the minus strand of NT_167245.2, from coordinate 44,725 downwards.
GGAGACCACTTTGGGGTGAGTTGATCTTGGACTGACCACAAATCAGGAACATCAGGAACAATGCCTTTGTTTTTACCACAAGATATCTTTCTCCTGGTGTAGCCATGCCCGAGAGAGAGAGAGAGAGAGAGAGAGAGAGAGAGAGAGAGAGAGAGAGAGGGCGCTTAGTGTCGGGAATTCATAAACAGTGGAATTGGAAACATACAGTGATTGTCTTGATGACACAGAGCACAGACTCAGGCAACGGAGATCACCAAAACATTTTCCCAAGCTCCTGATCTCCTGCGGGGGTATAGCTCAGGGACAGAGCACGTGGTTAGCATGCGTGAGGTCCTGCGTTCAACTTCCAGTATTTCCACTCTTTTTTTTCCTATGAGCCACCTTAGGAAGTTCTCCATGATATTCCCCACCTATTCAAGGGAATTGTGTTGGCCTCTGCATTTCTCTCTCATACAGGGAGATAATTCGTGTTCATTCACTTACAGTTCTTTGTTGCTTAGAATTATCCCCCTGTCCTAATTAGTTCCACAAATCACTAATGTGGATCACACACTATAGAAGCAAGTAGTATTCCTTGCCATCCCGCCGATTTCCAGTTTAAATAAAATAGTCAGAAACCATTGAATTCTGTGACCTAAGTCTGATTTCAGATCAGAAGGTTAAGGCTCAAGTTCTTTTGCGTTTCTTACTTTCTTCTAACTGCTTCCTCACCCAGGTTGCAAAAGTCCTGCAAGCTTTCACTAAAAGATTCCACTACAAGTGGCTGATGATTGCTGGTGATGTGCTGGTGGTCACTTTTTCCATTAGAGACCGACAAATTCTGAAACTTAATCCAAGCTATTTAACTACAAACATAAGGACAAATGACAAATATAATGACAAATGAGGAAAAGATCTCAATCACCTCAGCTGAAATTTAGCAGGGAGAAAATTACTTCTCTTGGTTCTTTAAGGAAGTTTCTGGTCTGAAATGGCAAGCTCTCTGAACTCCAGAGTCCAAGATCCATCTAGGGTAGAAGCTCGTTTCTTCTTTTTTTTTTCTTTTTTCTTTCTTTCTTTTTTTTTTTTTTTTTTTTTTTTTTTTTTTTTTTTTTTTTGAGATGAAGTCTCACTCTGTTGCCCAGGCTGGACTGCAGTGGAGCGATCTTGGCTCACTGCAAGCTCCGCCTTCTGGGTTCAAGCAATTCTCCTGCCTCAGCCTCCTGAATAGCTGGAAATACAGGCACTTGCCACCTCGCCTGGCTAATTTTTTGTATTTTTAGTAGAGATGGGGTTTCACCATGTTGGCCAAGCTGGTCTCAATCTCCTGACCTCGTGATCTGCCCACCTTGGCCTCCCAAAGTGCCGGGATTACAGGCGTGAGCCACTGCACCCAGCCAAAACCTCATTTCTTTGTTTTGTTTTGTTTTTTTTAATAAATAAAAATAATGAACTTTTATTCTCCCAATCCCAATGGATCCTTTTCTACCTCACTGTACTTACTTTCAAGGAATAACTTCCTTCTTAGCTACTGAACATCCCATATCTCCAGATTAGAACCCTGCACAATTTCTAATTCTGATATCACAGTGCTAAGCAGAAATTCACAGGGGGATACTTGGCAAGCATCTTAACACTATTTTGTTAAAAGAAAATCTCCTTTTATTTTCCACTCTATTTCATCAAAGGATTAAAAATTAAGTTACTAAACACCTAGAAGGCAGAAAAGCAGCCTCTTTCTCCATGTGCAGAAGCTAAGCAACCCAGTGGGGCTTCTGTATGCATCATCTCTTTTACTCACTTTCTAAAAGCTGTAACCGTCCACCATCTACCAGGCGATCACAAACCACCCCTTAAGTCAATTTTGAGGTTAACCCACTTGACTTGAGAGGGATTCACCTGTACCACCTCTGCAGCTGTTATGTGAGAAAATAAACTCATCCATCTAAACCCAAAGAATGGACTCAGAGACCCGGAGAACAGCGAAAGTGAGACTTTTAATGACGGTCTTGAGAGATCAAGATCGGGTGTCTGGCGTGCAGGCACACCCAGAACAGTTTCAACAAGCAATTTGTCCCCTAGTGCGCAAGTCCCTCCCCAGGTTCCTCATAGGCTGAGTGCTATGGGGTTACAATTTTCTCGGCGTTTGCCTACTGATTGTTAGGCAAAGGCTTTAGGTGTCTCTTTTTTAGGGTTGTCTTGCTGCATTTTGTTGCAGCCCACAATGCATTGCAATCCTGGTTAGCTCAAGGGCTCTTTAAGTGTTTGACTTATGACCTAAGTAGCTGGGCAGGCTGATAAGAACAGACAAAGTGAGCTATTTTGCAGACTAGTAAACTTATATCTTAGACTAAACTGTTTTTGTTTGGGTGAAGGCCACCAAGGATGGGGGATGGGAAGGGGGAGGAAAGAGGGGGGCGACAAGCAGGCATCCGCTATCCAAGCAGGGACCTAGTATACCCTGTTTCTTCTGTACTTTGCTGACCTAAGCCAATTTAAGGCACTTTGTCTTGGAAATAGATCACTGTATACATTATTTCCTTCAGGAATAGCACTAAGGAAAAGGTGGCTGCACACGTAGTTAACACCGATTTTACCGCGACTTTGTAGTACCTAACCTTGTTTTTAGACTCTCCCTTAATCGCCTAGCCTTGTTTCCACATGAATAGGCTCTTCCTTAGCTGAGAAAGCCGGAAGTACTCCTTTTGGCTCCTTCATTTACAAGACGTCAAAGACTCCTTACCCACCCCCTTCCTCAAGCAGTTAACTTGTGTAAGCTGACTCTTACATATCAAAGAGTCCAATTAACTGATAAGGTACTGAAGCAAGCAATTTACGAAGTTACCAGGATTTCGCTCAAGAGATAACACCATAAAGCTTTGAGTTTGTGTCCGGGAGAGCCCCCATACCTAACGCCTTATGATAGATTTAGAGCCCCTGCACCTGGAACTGTTTGTTTCCTTGTAACCATTTGTCTTTTTAATTTTTTTGCATGCTTTTACTTCTGTAGAATTGCTGCAACTAAGCTCCCCCTCCCCTTTCTAAACCAAAGTATAAAGGAAAATCAAGCCCCTTCCTCGGGGCCGAGAGAATTTCGAGCGTTAGTCGTCTGTCGGTCGCCGGCTAATGAAGGACTCTTAAATTCGTCTCGAAGTGTGGCGTTTCTCTAACTCGCTCGGGTACAACATTTGGAAGCCCCAGCGAGATATATTCGCCACTGGGCGAGAGCCGGGCTAGCTCCGGGCTCCCCCGGAGGGACGGCCGGCTTATAGGCGAGGAGCCACCTGAAAAAAAATTTTCCAGGTCCCCGAAAGGCGACCGTCTTCCGGAGGACAGCGGATCGACTACCGTGTGTGTGTGCCCACAAAATTCAACCTCTGAGTCCTCAGCTTCTGACCCCGGGGTCAGGTAAGTTAGATTTGACTTCTGTTTGGTGAGAGGGAGGCAGCCCTGACGAGGGCATCCCTGTCTTTGACACTGCCCGCTTTTCCAGGGCGCTGGAGGACAGAGCCCTGGTTTTTCTGTTAGGCGCCTTTTGGTTCTGGTTTGGTGAGAGGGAGGCAGCCCTGACGACGGTGTCCCTCTCTTTGACTCTATCCATACTCCAGGACGCTGGAGGATAGAGCCCTGGTTTCTGGCAGGCCGGCCTCTCCATTAAGACTAGTCTCTCACTCTCTCCTCCTCTTTTTCTTTCTCTCCCCCTTGCTCTATCTCTTCTCCTCCTCTCGTTCAGGTCTTCTGGGACCTTTGTTTAGAACGGGAAATAACAAAAATTGTTATAAACTCTTTGTGAATGTGTGCACGACTGAGGAGTCCAGGGGCCTGCCTCTGGATCCCCAGTTTGTAGCTCCACGGCGAAAGCTACGGAGTTCGAGTGGGCCCTCACCTGCCGTTCCGTGGCGACCTCATAAGGCTTAAGGCAGCATCGGGCATAGCTCCATCCGAGCCGGGGGTTTATACCTGCCTGCCAATGCTAAGAGAAGCCCAAGTCCCCTCAGGGGGAGCGGCCAGGCAGGCATCTGACTGATCCCATCATGGGACCCCCTCCCCTTGTCTGTCTAATAAAAACCTACCATAATTGTTTATATACCCAAGGGTCTATTGTTTGTTTTGTGTTTGTTGTCCTGCTCGGTGTCTATTGTCCTGTTTAGTGGTTGTCAAAGTTTCGTATGTCAGGTCATCGATACTGCCCAAGACGTCTGGGCAGGAACTTCTTCAAGGTCTTTAGTGTTGATTTTTTATCACAGGAGGTTAAATTTCTCATCAATCGCTTAGGCTGGCCATCCCAGTCCTGCCTTTTCTGTCAGAAACAAATCAGGTGTTGTTACGGGAACGGGAACGAGTGTGAGGAACATTCGCCTGTTTGGGATTTCTGGCACCATGAAGATTGCTGGCATTTAGATTGTCATACCCCATGTCCAAGTGACTGGGCCACCTCCAGACTAAACCGGTGGTAGGTTCAAAATAGCCACCCTGCAGACCTCCTTGCTCACCTCTTTTGTCATCCCGTAACTTTTTCTGTGCCCTTAAATACGGCACTGTGCAGAGAAACCTACGCCCGTACCACTTTACTTCGTTTAAACCCTTATTCTATTCCTCTGTGGCTACTCTCCTACCCTAGGAAAGATCCGAGTGGCCCTTTTTCCTCCTCATCCCTACCACTTACCCCGTACATCTCGTTTTCCCGTGTCACAGCAAGTTCAGCGTCTCCAGGACTTGGCTCTGCTCTCACTCCTCAAACTCTTAAAAGAAAAGGCCGAATTTGAGCTATTTGCCTTTGAGTCGTGGAGACACCAAAAGTATTTAGGCTACAGGTCCAGGGAAAGAGGGAGGACGCCTAGGTCCATCCAGCCAAGGAGACCTAAGGTTGGCCTCTAGTCCTCCTCCCTCAATCTTGGATAATTATTCTTTTTTTTTTTGAGACAGTCTTCTCTGTCGCCCAGGCTGGAGTGCAGTGGCGCGATCTCAGCTCACTGCAAGCTCCGCCTCCCAGGTTCAGGCCACTCTTCTGCCTCAGCCTCCCAAGTAGCTGGGACTACAGACACCCGTCACCACACCCAGCTAATTTTTTGTATTTTTAGTAGAGACGGGGTTTCACCGTGTTAGCCAGGATGGTCTCGATCTCCTGACCTCGTGATTCGCCCGCCTCAGCCTCCCAAAGTGCTGGGATTACAGGCGTGAGCCACTGCGCCCGACCTCCCTCAATCTTAAAGCTAGTTAACCGTCCTGTGGCAAGTAGTGTGAGCTATTGTTGTCTTTCGGCTCCTTCTGGTTATGTTAATTCTGTTCTTCCGATACTCCAGCCCCCTAGGGAATGAGTTTTTCTGTCCGTGCTGGGTTTGATATCCCTGCTCAAACCTTGTCAAACTGCCTCCAAAAATGGGAAACTCCTCTTCCCGGCCCTGTAAGGATTGGAGCCCCCTCCAATGTATGCTGCAGAATTTTTCTCTAGGCTTCTCAGAGGATTATGGGGTCCGCCTTTAAAAAGGCAAACTCCGGACACTCTGCGAAGTAGAATGGCCAAAGTTTGGAGTCGGATGGCCCCCAGTAGGGTCACTGAACCTAGCAATTGTTCAGGCTGTGTGGCGGGTTGTTGCTGGAACTCCCGGCCACCCCGATCAGTTTCCCCACATTGATCAATGGCTGAGTTTGGTCAGAAGCTCCCCACCATGGCTCCGCTCATGCGCCATTCATAATTCTGCCTCCAAGGTCGTTTTGAGCCAGACCGCACTTCCGCCTGGACCCTCAGTCTGTTCGGCTCACCCTGTACTGCCTCCCTCTGAAGAAGAGGAGAGTCTCCCCCACTCAGTTCCGCCGCCTTATAACCGTCCTGCTCCCTTAGAATCTTCCCTTGTCTCCTCGACTACATCCCCTGTAGGCTCGCCGCCTATTGCCTCTCGATTGCGGCCGCGGCAGGAGGAAGTAGCCCCCCCTCTACCGCGGAAAGAAGCACAAGTCCCTCCGGGTGATGAGCGCTCAGCCCCATTCTTGGTTTATGTCCCTTTTTCTCCTTCTGACCTCTGTAACTGGAAGGCTCATAATCCTCCCTTCTCTGAAAAGCCCCAGGTCTTGATCTCACTGATGGAGTCTGTGCTCCGGACCCATCGGCCCACCTGGGATGACTGTCAGCAGCTCCTTTTGACCCTTTTTACCTCTGAAGAGAGGGAACATATCCGAAGAGAGGCCAGAAAGTATTTCCTCACATCAGCCAATAGGCCAGAGGAGGAAGCTAGAGACTTTCTTGAGGAGGTCTTTCCCTCTACCCGGCCTAACTGGCACACGAATTCCTCGGGTAGGAAGAAAGCTTTGGACGATTTTCACCGGTATCTCCTTGCAGGTATCAAAGGAGCTGCTCAGAAACCCATAAACTTGTCTAAGATGACTGAAGTCGCACAGGGCCTGATGAGTCACCGGGAGCGTTTTTAGAACGCCTCCAGGAGGCCTATCGGACTTACACCTCTTTTGACCCGGCGGCTCCCGAAAATAGCCGTGCTCTTAATTTGGCATTTGTGGCTCAGGCAGCCCCTGATATTAAAAGAAAACTCCAAAAACTGGAGGGATTTCCTGGGATGAATATCACTCAGCTTTTAGAGATAGCCCAAAAAGTTTTTGACAATCGAGAGTTTGAAAAAAGAAAACAAACAGCACAGGCAGCAGCTGATAAAGCATACAAAAGACAAGCAAAAATCTTAGCTGCGGCCATCGGAGAGGTCAAGAAGGGAAGGCCCCCATCACAGAGGAATAGCCAGGGAACCTCAGGTCCCTACCAGAAGGGCAAAAGAGGAGAACAGGCTCCCCTAGAAAAGGACAAATGTGCTTATTGCAAGCAGACTGGGCACTGGAAAAAGGAATGCCCACTACGGCCAGAGGAAAAATCAGAAAAGAAAAAGGCCCTCACCCTCCCCGCAACGGAAGAGTCTGATGACTGATGGAGCCAGGACTCCCTCTCTCTTGGCCCCCAGGAGCCCACGGTGACCGCTACAGTGAGGGGCCAGCCTGTACGCTTCCTAGTAGCTACCGGGGCGGAGCACTCGGTACTACAGACCCCCTTGGGCAGTGTCTCTAATAAAAGAGTGGCTGTACAAAGGTCTACTGGAGCTATTCAGGAATATCCTGTCACACACTCACGAGAAGTGAGCTTGGGACAGAAAAGAGTGAGACAGTCATTTCTTGTGGTTCCAGAGTGTCCTTTTCCTCTCCTCGGAGGAGATCTGCTCCATAAGTTACAGGCCTCTATCTCCTTCTCAGCCCAGCAGGCTAACGTCATGCTAGGAAATACAGCGCCCCCCACTGCCCAACTCCTGCTAACTACCCCTCTGTCAGAGGAAAATCTTTTAGTGTCACCATCACAACCACTGGAAAATAATACTAATCCTCTCCTGTTGGACTTACAGACACTCTTTCCCAGAGTTTGGGCCAGTCAAACCCCCCAGGACTGGCTAAACACCATCCACCAGTGGTTGTAGAACTCCTGGCCACTGCCTTGCCTGTCCAGGTAAAGCAATATCCTATGAGTCAGCAGGCTAGACAGGAGATTAATCCCCATATTCAATGACTGTTACAAGCTGGCATACTCACACCGTGTCAGTCCGCCTGGAATATTCCATTTTTGCCGGTCCAGAAACCCGGAACGAATGATTACCAGCCGGTACAGGACTTAAGGGAAGTTAACAAACAGACTGTTACTGTCCATCCAACTGTCCCCAATCCTTATACTCTACTCAACCTGCTCCCGCCAGAACTTACAGTATATACACTGTCCTTGACCTAAAGGATGCCTTCCTTGCTATTTCTCTGGCCCCCAAGAGCCAACTGATCTTTGCTTTTGAATGGACAGATCCTAGCTCAGGAGACACTACCCAATTGACTTGGACTCAGTTACCTCAAGGTTTTAAAAATTCCCCCACCCTTTTTGGAGAGGCCCTCCAGCAGGATCCTATACCATTCCAAGCTAGTCACCTTAACTGTACTCTTCTTCAGTAGGTGGACAACCTTTTATTAGCTACTGAAACTAAAGACAGTTGCCTGCAACATACTAGGGACCTACTTTACCTCCTTCAGGAGCTCGGGTATCGAGTCTCAGCCAAGAAGGTCCAGCTTTGTCTTCCCACAGTGTCCTACCTAGGATACGACATAAGCCAAGGAAAAAGGGCACTCACCAGTGCCCGGAAAGAAGCCATCCTACGAATCCCCACTCCCACCACCAAGAGACAGGTACGTGAATTCCTGGGGGCCGTAGGATACTGTCGCCTATGGATGTCGGGGTTCGCGGAGATTGCGAAGCCCCTGTACACTGCTACAGGAGGGAATAGCCGGCTAGTTTAGATGGACACAGAAGAACAGGCTTTTCAAAATCTGAAAAAGGCATTAACTGAAGCCCCTGCTCCAGCCCTCCCAAATATCCCAGAGCCGTTTCACCTGTTTGTCCACGAAAGCCAGGGAGTTGCTAAGGGGGTGCTTACTCAGACTTTAGGACCCTGGAGATGCCCAGTGGCCTATTTGTCTAAGAGGCTGGATCCTGTGGCCTCTGGATGGCCAACTTGTCTGCGAGTCATAGTGGCAACAGCAAGCCTAGTCTAAGAGGCTGATAAGTTAACTCTAGGTCAAAATTTAACCTTTACCGCTCCTCATGCCGTAGAGACTTTATTACGAAGTGCTTCTGGCAAATGGATGTCAAATGCTCGCATCCTGCAGTATCAGAGTTTACTGTTAGATCAGCCTCGTTTGACTTTCTCTCCCAGAAGGTGTTTAAATCCAGCTACTTTACTCCCTGATCCAGACTTCACTACACCTGTCCATGACTGCCAGGAACTGTTAGAAACTACAGAAACTGGCCCACCTGATCTCCAAGATGTGCCCCTAAAGAAGGTGGACGCCGCCATGTTTACAGGCGGTAGCAGCTTTCTCAAAACAGGGAGTACGAAAGGCTGGTGCAGCCATTACTACAAAGACAGATGTGCTATGGGCCCAGGCTTTACCGGCAAATACCTCGGCACAAAAAGCTGAATTGATCGCCCTCACTCAGGCTCTCCGATGGGGTAAGGATAAACTTATTAACATTTACACTGACAGCAGGTATGCTTTAACTACTGTACATGTACATGGAGCCATCTATCAGGAGCGTGGGCACCTCAGCAGGAAAGACTATCAAAAACAAAGAAGAAATTCTAGCCCTGCTTGAAGCCGTATGGCTCCCTCAGCAGGTGGCTGTAATCCACTGCAAAGGACATCCAGGAGAAAACACGGCCATTGCCCGTGGTAACCAGAAAGCTGACTCAGCGGCCCGGGATGCAGCCAGACTTCCAGTCATGCCTCTAAACTTATTACCCACAGTCTCCTTTCCACAGCCAGATCTGCCCTACAATCCCGCGTACTCAACGGAAGAAAAAAAACTAGCTTCAGATCTCAGGGCCAATAAAAATCAGGAAGGTTGGTGGATTCTTCCTGACTCCAGAATCTTCATACCCCGAGCTCTCTCGGGGAAACTTTAATCAGTCGCCTGCATTCTACCACCCATTTAGGAGGAGCAAAACTGGCCCGGCTCCTCTAGAGCCATTTTAAGATTCCCTATCTTCAAAGCTTAGCAGATCAAGCAGCTCTCCGGTGTACAACTTGTGCCCAGGTAAACGCCAAGCAAGGTGCTAAACCCAGCCCAGGCCACCGTCTTTGAGGAAACTTGCCAGGAGAAAGGTGGGAAGTTGACTTTACAGAAATAAAACCACACCGGGCTAGGTACAAATACCTTCTAGTACTAGTAGACACCTTCTCCGTATGGACTGAGGCATTTGCCACCAAGAATGAGACTGCCACCATGGTAGTTAGGTTTTTACTCAATGAAATCATCCCTCGACATGGGCTGCCTGCTGCCATAGGGTCTGATAACGGACTGGCCTTCACCTCGTCCATAGCTCAGTCAGTCAGTAAGGCATTACACATTCAATGGAAGCTCCATTGTGCCTATCGACCCCAGAGCTCTGGGCAGGTAGAACGCATGAACCGCACCCTAAAAAGCACTCTTACAAAGTTAATCTTAGAGACCGGTGAGAACTGAGTAAGGCTCCTTCCTTTAGCCTTTCTTAGAGTAAGGTGCACTCCTTACTGGGCTAGGTTTTCACATTTTGAAATCATGTATAGGAAGGCTCCACCTATCTTGCCTAAGCTAAGGGATACCAATTTGGCAGAAATATCACAAGCTAATTTATTACAGTAGCTAAAGTCTCTCCAACAGGTACAAGATATCATCCAGCCACTTTTCCGAGGAGCCCATCCCAATCCGGTTCCTGACCAGATGGGGCCCTGCCACTCATTCCAGCCAGGTGACCTGGTGTTTGTTAAAAAGTTCCAGAGAGAAGGACTCACTCCTGCTTACATAGGACCTCATACTGTCATCCTCACCATGCCAACAGCTCTGAAGGTGGATGGCATTCCTGCTTGGATTCGTCACTCCCGCATCAAAAAGGCCAACAAAGCCCAGCAAGAAACATAGGTCCCCAAGCCTGGGTCAGGCCCCTTAAAACTGTGCCTAAGTCGGGTGAAGCCATTAGATTAATTCTTTTTATTTACTTCTCTTTTTGGTTTTTGCCTGTCATGTCCTCTGCACCTTCCTATTCCCTTCTTCTCACCTATTTCATGACAAGACGTATATTCGCAAACAGTACTTGGAGGGCAGGAACCTCCAAGGAAGTCTCCTTTGCAGTTGATTTATGTGCACTGTTCCCAGAACCAGCCCGTACCTACAAAGAGTAACACAATCTGACAGTCAAGGGGGCAGGAAGCGTTGACCTTTTGGCAGGATTTGGACACTCCGGGAGCCAGACTGGATGTGGGAGCTCCAAAGGTGCGGAAAAAGGACTTCAGAATGTTGACTTTTACCTCTGTCCTGGAAATCACCCTGACTCTAGCTGTTGAGATATTTACCAGTTTTTCTGCCCTGATTGGACACGTGTAACTTTAGACACTTAACTCTGGGAGATCAACCGGATCTTCAACTCTTTCCATAAGTCGTGCTTCCCATCCTAGATTGTGTACTAGAAAAAATTGTAATCCTCTTACTATAACTGTCCATGACCCTAATTCAGCTCGATGGTATTATGGCATGTCATAAGGATTAAGGCTTTATATCCCAGGATTTGATGTTAAGACTATGTTCGCCATCCAGAAGAAAATCCTGGTCTCATGGAGCCCACCCAAGCCAATCAGGCCTTTAACTGATCTAGGCGACCCTATGTTCCAAAAACACCCTGACAAGGTCGATTTAACTGTTCCGCCACCATTCCTAGTTCCTAAACCCCAGCTGCAGCAACAATATCTTCAACACAGCCTGATGTCCATACTAGGCAGGGTACATCACCTTCTTAACCTCACCCAGCCTAAACTAGCCCAAGATTGTTGGCTATGTCTAAAAGCAAAACCCCCTTATTATGTAGGCTTAGGAGTAGAGGCCACACTTAAAAGTGGCCCTTTATCTTGTCGTGCACGACCCTGTGCCCTCACACTAAGGGATGTGTCTGGAAACGCTTCTTGTCTAATTAGTACCGGGTATAACTTATCTGCTTCTCCCTTTCAGACTACTTGTAATCAGTCCCTGCTTACTTCCATAAGCACCTCAGTCTCTTACCAAGTGCCTAACAATACCTGGTTGGCCTGCACTTCAAGTCTCACTCACTGCATTAATGGAACTGAACCAGGACCTCTCCTGTGCATGTAAGTTCATGTACTTCCCTGGGTATACGTGTACAGTGGACCAGAAGGACAACTTCTCATTTCTCCCCCTGAGTTAGATCCCAGGTTTCGCTAGCTGCCCTGCTCCTAGTTCCCTTCTTGGCCAGCCTTAGCATAGCCAGATCAGCAGCCCTAGTTCAAGGAGAAACTGGAATAATGGCCCTATCTCAACAGGTAGATGCTAATTTAAGTAACCTCCAGTCTGTCGTAGATTTGTTACATTCCCAGGTAGAGTCTCTAGCTGAAGTAGTTCTTCAAAACCGCTGAGGCTTAGATCTACTATTCCTCTCTCAAGGAGGTTTATGCGCAGCTCTAGGAGAAAGTTGTTGCTTCTATGCCAATCAGTCTGGAGTCATAAAAGATACTCTCCAAAAGGTTCGAGAAAATCTAGATAGATGCCAACAAGAAAGAGAAAATAACATCCCCTGGTATCAAAGCATGTTTAACTGGAATCCATGGCTAACTACTCTAGTCACTAGGTTAGTTGGACCCCTCCTCATCCTACTATTAAGCTTAATTTTCAGGCCGTGTATATTAAATTAGTTTCTTAACTTTGTAAAACAACGCATAGCTTCTGTCAAATTTATGTATCTTAGAACTCAATATGACCCCCTTATTATAACTGAGGAATCAACGATTTGATTCCCCAAAAACACAAGTGGGGAATGTAATACCTAACGTTGTTTTTAGACTCTCCGTTAATCACCTAGCCTTATTTCCACATGAATAGGCTGTCCCTTAGCTGAGAAAGCTGGACGAACTCCATTTGGCTCCTTCATTTACAAAACATCAAGGACTCCTTACCCACCCCCTTCCTCAAGCAGTTAACTTGTGTAAGCTGACTCTCAACATATCAGAGTCCAATTAACTGATAAGGTACTGAAGCAAACAATGCACGAAGTTCCCAGGATTTCACTCAAGAGATAACACCATAAAGCCTTGAGTTTGTGTCTGGCAGAACCCCCATACCTAATGCCTTATGATAGATTTAGAGCCCCTGCACCTGGAACTGTTTGTTTACCTGTAACCATTTGTCTTTTTAATTTTTTTGCATGCTTTTACTTCTGTAGAATTGCTGCAACTAAGCTCCCCCTCCCCTTTCTAAACCAAAGTATAAAGGAAAATCAAGCCCCTTCCTCGGGGCCGAGAGAATATCGAGCGTTAGTCCTCTTTTGGTCGCCGGCTAATAAAGGACTCTTAAATTCGTCTCAAAGTGTGGCATTTCTCTAACTCGCTCGGGTACAACAACTTCGCCTTTCCGCAGCCGCTGTCCAGCTCTGCAGAGTCCTTTTGAGAGAAGAGCTGGACAAGAGGAGTAAAGGAGCTCTTTGCAAATGCCAGGAGGAGTTTCTTCAGGGGGAAAGTTGGCTTTCCATAGGCTTCTAAGAGAAGTATGTGGAGCAAACAAACGGGAATTTTCTTTCTCATCTTTTGCATTTCAGACAAAAGCTAATAAAATTAGCTGTTTCCACCGTCATGCTTAGTCTCAAAGCTGCCGGTAGATTCCGCTTCTAACTTTCCACACAGGCGCGCAGGAAATCGGGAAATCACTGCAGCTCCCTCAGAAGCTCCAATATCAGCATTTCCTGAACTGAAAATAAAAATGCGACATTACGTGCATACCCAAAGAGCTCAACTGGTCTGTCCAGCAACGTAAAGAGAGGTGAGGCGCTCTTGAAGCCGTGCCAGCCTGGGCGAAACGAACCAGGTCCCCTTCCTGGTCGAGCCTACCCCCCTAGGGACAAAAAGGAACCTCTCTTCCCTCCTATCCAGAGGAAGGGACGGAGAGATGTGGCGATCAGACTCACTCTACCATCCAGTCTATCCAAGTACTAATAATCTTGAGGATGCTTTTCCTTGCCCTCTACCTCTCTCCCTTTTGTCCTTTGCTTCCTCCACTTCACGGCACCCCGCCTCTTCCGTCTCCCCGCAAGCTGGCGCTCGGCTCCTCCCGTTTACTTTTTGTTTGTTTGTTTTTGTTTTTTGTTTGCTTTTGTTTTTGTTTTTTGTTTTTGTTTTTTTGAGACGGAGTCTCGCTCTGTCGCCCAGGCTGCAGTGCAGTGGCGCGATCTCGGTTCACTGCAACCTCCACCTCCTGGGATCAAGCGATTCTCCTGCCTCAGTCTCCCGATTAGCTGAGATTACAGGAGCCCCCCACCACGCCCGGCTAATTTTTGTATTTTTAGTAGGGACGGGGTTTCACCATTTTCACCAGGATAGTCTCCAACTTCTGATCTCAAGTGATCCGTCCGCCTCGGCCTCCCGAAGTTCTGAGATTATAGGCATGAGCCACTGCGCCCAGCTTTCAGAATGAACTTTTCACAATAGTGCAGCGCACTCCTAGACCCGTTTACGCACATTTTAAACACTGTGTTGTGATTCATATGTAGATCTTTCCACATCACTTTCTATTTTTTTTTTCTTCTTTTCCTTCTCTGTATGCTCAGCTTTAAACATTTTTGCACCATAGGCTGAGGCTGCACTCAGCTGGGGAGAGACGCGTGGCGGGGATAAAACTAGAGTAGAGGAATGTTGTTTCCTGTCTGAGAAGGCTCAGACCTTACAAGGGGAGAAAAAAGTCTGTAAGAGAATCTAAAACTTTTTTTGAGGAAATAATTGAAAAATATATCCTAATTGACCCTCCCACCGTATTTTGGCTAAAAATAGAAAGCCTCGACTCTCAGGAGATTGAGTTTGAAAACTGTTAAGACATAGAAAAGGTTTTATTAAAATTCAGTTTGCAAATCATCGTCGGCCTCAGCAATTTTCTCATTCCAGAGAGGGTTGTTTCCGAAATTCTGTAAACATCTGAATTTGTTCCTATGTCTAACCAGAGAAGTTCAATGTTTTTACACTTTTGACTTAACGTAAGAATTTATATTGAGATATATACACTTCTGGGATTGGCGTGCAAGTGTTGTATAAGGGAGTGATAATTAGGCAGAACTAAAAAAACCAAACAAACCTGGTGAAACCCGGGATCGAACCAGGGACCTTTAGATCTTCAGTCTAACGCTCTCCCAACTGAGCAATTTTGGCTACTCTAAGCACGTGCCGTTAGCAATTTCTTCAAAATATAAAAATCTTCATTTGTAAAGTGGGCGTATTTCCTAATGCCTAATTCTTTTTTGTTCAATATCAACACAAAAATTAGCCAGGGGTGGTGGCGCGCGCCTGTAATCCCAGCTACTCCGCGCCGCTGTACTCCAGCCTGGGCGACAGAGCGAGACTCCCTCTCCCTCCGTTGAAGTGGGAGGATCCACTGAGCCGGGGAGGCAGAAGTTGCCGCGAGCCGAGATTGCACCACTGCACTCCAGCCCACGCAACAGAGCGGGACCCTGTCTCGAAAACAACAACAAAAAAGAGTTGTTATGCACCAGTGTGGAGACCACAATTTTAAAAACTCTAAGGAAGAGATAGAATGTACTGGAGGACATAAGAGATCCTTCTTTTCTTTCTTTTCCTGTCACTTATTTTATTTATTTAATTTATTTTTTTTAGACAATCTCCCTCTATCGCCCAGTCTGGAGTGCAGTGGCGTGATCTCGGCTTACTGCAACCGCCACCTCCCGGGTTCAAGCAATTCTCCTGCCTCAGCCTCCCTAGTAGCTGGGATTACAGGCGCGCACCACCACCCCTGGCTAATTTTTGTATTGATATTGAACAAAACAGAATTAGGCATTAGAAAATACACTCACTCTACAAATGACGTTTTTATATTTTGAAGAAATGACTAAGGGTGTGTGCTTAGAGTAGCTGAAATAGCTCAGTTGGGAGAGCGTTAGACTGAAGATCTTAAAGTTCCCTGGTTCAACCCTGGGTTTCAGCCAGCATCTTTTGAGTTCTGCCTAATTATCACTCCCTTATACAGCACTTATACGCCAATCCCAGAAGCTTACATATCTCCAATTTTTGGGAGTTTTTGAAAGTCTGATAAAGGTAATGTACATGTTTGTATCACTCTCTCCTTTGTATATTCCACTGAAGTCTTCCATGAAGTGCTCTCATTACATAAATTATTTAAAGTTTTTGGACGGAGTCTCACTCCGTCGCCCAGGCTGGAGTGCAACGGCGCGATCTCGGCTCACTGCAACCTCCGCCTCCTGAGTTCAAGCTGTTCTCATATCTCAGCCTCCCAAGTAAGCTGAGATTACAGGCCCCCGCAACCATGCCCGGCTAATTTTTGTATTTTTAGTAGAGACAGGGTTTCGCCATGTTGATCAGGTTGGTCTCGACCTCCTGACCTCAGGTGATCCACCTGCCTCGGCCTCTCAAAGTGCTGGGATTTCAGGCGTGAGCCACTAAGCCCGTCCTTATTTAAAGTCTTAAACTTAGGAAGTTATTAGTTTTAAAACCTAAGAAATTCCAACGTGCTATATGCTGTGGCATTTACAAGTCATTTTTGATTTGATATTATTTATATGTATTGGGCGAGGGTTATTTTTAAATCACAAGAAATATGAAAAAAAGAAACATACAGTGAAGTAACTATTATACTGTATGAGCATATATATGGGGGTGTGGTGTATGCAAGAAACATTTTGAAATTAGAAAAACCCGGGTTTGTATCTTGAGTCAACTCCATTATTAAAGTGCTGTAAGAACTTTTTTTTTCTTTCTTTCTCTTTCTTTCTTTCTTTCTCTTTCTTTCTTTCTTTCTTTCTTTCTTTCTTTCTTTCTTCTTTCTTTCTTTCTTTCTTTCTTTCTTCTTTCTTTTCTTTCTTTTAAGCAGGGTCTCACTCTGTCATCCAGGCTGGAGTACAGTTATACAATCAGAGCTCACTACAGCCTCAACCTCTCTAGGCTGAAGTGACTCCACATGTCAGCACCCTGAGTAGATGGGACTACAGGCGAGCACCACCATGCCTGGCTAAATTTTTTTTTTTTTTTTTTTTTGTATTTTTTTTGTAGACTGTGGGTTTCACCGTGTTGCCCAGGCTGGTCTTTAAATCCTAGGTTTAAGCAATCCACCTGCCTAGGTAGGCCTCCCAGAGTGCTTGGATTACAGGCAGGAGCCATCGCACCAGGCCCAATTACAAGAACATTCTAAATTTTCTTGCTGAGAAGACATTTCTTTAGCCTGGCAACCTTGTCTAGAATTTCCAAATCTTAAGCTGTTTCCATGTTTGTATCCAGGAAAAAAGAAATATATGTATTTCTATATGAATTATTTTATCAAACATTCATGAGGGGCTCTAGAATACTGAAAATGAAAGCAAATGGGCAGCAAAGTCAAGACTCAGGTGCATGTGCCCCATTTTCCCTTTTTCACTTCAACTCCTCTCTTGAAATTCTCTGTTGGGATAATAGGTCTTTTTTTGGTCATTTTGATTTTTTTTCTTTCAAATTACTGCTTCAGTTTCAGTGTTGTTTTTCTCTAACTTCTGCATACCCTGTGAGGAGACAATAATCTACAATACTCCACTATCAGAACTGCAGCAAGTTGCAAAAGGAAAATTAGTACCAAATGAGAAGTAACCTTGGGTTAGGGACATTGACTGTACAGAAACTGGGAATCAGGTACTTTATCCTTTCACTGAGGCTTTCTCAACTCAGAAGCTTGTGTTTTACTCCATTAAGAAATATTTGACTAGACAAACAGTAACATTGAATGTTTTGTGCCTAACGCAGTAAAGATTCCTTTACATTCTGTTGAAATGGAAGGCCTAGGGCAATTCCAAGCATGATTTGTCTGCCATTCAATGGCTTAAAAATGATGTTAATAATGATTTTGTAAAATGGGATGTTGTAAAGATCAAAGGAGATCATGCATAGAAATGCATTCTGTCAAGTCCACTCACAGCATGAAACTTAATTACTGGCAGATCATGCTCCGTGTTCTCTGCTTCTGGGATTCTCCCAGAACAGCACCTAAATGGATAACATTGTCTTTAGACAATTCTGTCCAATCAAGAGATAATACAAGTTTTAAATGACAGCCATTTTGTAGTGTTACCTTTTGCAGTAGTTGCATTAAAAAAAGTCAATATTTATATTTTTATGTAATTTCAATTTTTATTTTAGATTTGGGGGTACACGTGCAGGTTTGTTACATGGGTATACTACATGATGCTGGGTAAATTGCATGAGGTTTTGAGTGCAATTGATCCCATCACCCAGGTAGTAGGCATAGTACCCAAGAGGTAGCTTTTCAAATCTTTCTGCCCTCCCTCCCACCCCTCCCCATAGTCCCCAGTGTTTGTTGTTGCTATCTTTTATGTCCAGTTTCAATAATATATTTAAATCACTTTGTATATCCAAAAACTTATTTTAAGAAGCTATCAATTATAAAATTATTAGTGAGATATTTTATATTTAAAAAATAGTATTACACATCTTTGAAATCTGGTGTGTGTATGTATATATATATTTACATATATATATATTTTTTTTTTTTTTTTTTTTTTTTGCGAAGGATTCTCGCTCTGTCACCCAGGCTGGAGTGCAGTGGCCCGATGTCGGCTCACTGCAACCTCAGCCTCCCAGGTTCAAGCAATTCTCCTGCCTCAGCCTCCCAAGTAGCTGGGATTTCAGGTGTGTGTCACCAAGCCAGGCTAATTTTTGTATTTTTAGTAGAGATGGGGTTTCACCATGTTGGTCAGGCTGGTCTCGAACTCCTGACCTTGTGATCCACCCACCTCAGCCACCCAAAGTACTGGGATTACAGACGCAAGCTACTGTGCCTGGCCAAATCTGATATGTATTTTACACTTACAACACTCTTAACTTGGACTGGGCAATTTCAAGCATTCAATAGCCAGTGTGGCTAATGGTAACCATATTGGACAGTGCAGGTTTAAACAGATACTTTATATATTTTTAGGTTTTCTGAATTGAGTATGTATCACATGAGGGTGTTCTGTCTTCAGGATTAAATGTTTAATTCCTCAGAGGAATTCTGTGTTAAATAAGCTCATCCCACAGTTTTTACAAAAAAAACTGTGTTTCAGTCGTGTTGTTGTTAGTCAGAAGAGAGCTACAGATATTTAATTATTTAAAATTCTCTCCTTTTCAAGAGGCAAACAAAAAAGCAGACCTTCATATTATGATGAATTCCCAAGAATCCAGTAGACATCCAGGTTTCTCTGGGTGCAACATGACATAATGATGAAGGAGTGTTTCTGCAAATTGTCCTAATATTACTTCTGCAGCATCAAAGAGCTAAGATTATCTCCCTAGCATTTACATGCACACACAGACAGTCAAACACACACACAAACACTAGTTTTGTGTGTAACACTTCTCTTGTTTCTTATTCAGTGAAACCTAGCATTCAGTGCTTCCTATTTTTGTTCTAGAAATTCCATCAGCCAACCGAAAAGACAAGTCTGCCATATAACCTGCTGTTTTCTGCCAGTTCTACAAGGGATCAATGTTATTTCATGAGTGTTGGCAAAGGCTCATATATGAGTAAATCAGAATGAGAAAGAGTTAACAGTCACTAGAAATTTGGTGTCAGGAAATGGATTTTCTTCTCATCTTCTTATGTAGTTCAAAGAACACAGCCCTAATCATGATAAATAATAATAAATACCAGGGTTCAAGAACATAGAGGAGCAAACTTTAAAAAAAATTTTTTTTTACTTTATTATTATTATTATTATTATTTGAGAGAGAGTTTCACTCTTGTTGCCCAGGCTGGAGAGCAATGGCATGATCTCACTCACTGCAACCTCCACCTCCTAGGTTCAAGCAATTCTCCTGCCTCAGCCTCCCGAGAAGCTGGGATTACAGGAATGCACCACCACACCCAGCTAATTTTTGTATTTTTAGTAGAGACAGGGTTTCACCATGTTGGCCAGCCTGGTCTCGAACTTGCAACCTCAGGTGATCCACCCGCCTTGGCCTCCCAAAGTGCTGGGATTACAGGCGTGAGCCACCACACCCGGCTTTTTTTTCTTTTAAACAAATATCGTGAATAGGTTTGTAATTCCCAAATCTAAAAGGACCCTTTTTAGTCTTTATCCACCCTCTATGCAATATGTCTACTACTACTAATGCTCACAAACCCCAGGCTGGAGAGTCAATTGCCTGAGTTCTCCATGTAACATCCTCACAGTGTGCCCCACAGATACACCGAATTTAGCATGAGCCAAGCTAACTTATCTTCTCCATCTTCCAATCTTTCTCCCATTCCTTAAAGAGTTGTTAAAAACTCCCCTTTTCTACACCTCCTTCTGTTTGGCAATAGCCTGTTTGTTTTTCTAAACCACTTTCCCCCGTACCTCTTAAATCCTGTTTCTACTTATTTTTTATCTCACCCTCATAATTCAACTCTTCTCGTCATCCCTAGAGGTGTTGTTTCACTCACACCTTATAAATTTTTCTTTTCTTTTCTTTTTGATTTTGATACAGGGTCTCACTCCATCACCCAAGCTGGAGTGCAGTGGCGTGATCATAGCTCCCTGCAGCCTCCAGCTCCCAAGGTCAAGTGATCCTCCTGCTTCAGCCTCTGGAATAGCTGTGAGTACAGGCGCAGGACAACACACCAGCTAAAGACCCTTAAGATGAAATGCTGAGTGCATCGCTCTCAGGTTTTCTTCTGACTGTGATTTTCCTCAATCAAATCTAACCTTTAATATTCCGGCTGAGTAAACAACAAATATGAAGCATTTTAGGTAAGAAAAAGCTGAATTTCAATAACTTTGCGTCATCTCTGAAAGAAATCGAAAGAATGAAAAACCAGAATTTGATTCCTTGCCAAGCATAACAGAAGAAGGAGATCCTGACAACTCAACGTTTTAAAGCCACATTGGAAACTTCTTTTGGCGGTTATCTGACACTTTTCTAATACTTTGCTTTCCATTTCAAGTCCTGTACAGTATACTAAAGAATCTGTATCCCCTCATTAGTACCGAGTATCTTCTACTCAGAGCAGCTGAAGGCGCTCCATGATACTAACCACTACTACCAGCATGCTCACGGAGCCAGTCTCAGAAAATGAAAGTTACCTCCTGAAAATTATTACAAAACAGTCTTTCAGGAGGGGGGTGTAGCTCAGTGGTAGAGCACATGCTTTGCATGTGTGAGGCCCCGGGTTCGATCCCCGGCACCTCCAAATGGTGGTTTTGCTCTGGCAGTGCTTAAATGTAATTCTCAAGCAACA
Organism: Homo sapiens; assembly: GCF_000001405.40. Taxonomy (NCBI): domain Eukaryota; kingdom Metazoa; phylum Chordata; class Mammalia; order Primates; family Hominidae; genus Homo; species Homo sapiens. Next base: position 23,919 of record NT_167245.2, on the reverse strand, counting down.
TAGCCTTCTGCCTCCTCACCTTTTTCTATCCTATTTCTGCACGTATAGAGAGTAAAAACGTAACCCAATGGATTGCCTTCACTTATCTCCCATCTCTATAATGTAAGCCTCAACATCACCTAAGGCGATTGCGACGGCAGAAGGAAGAGGAGAAAGAAGAATGAGGTCGCAACAGGGTCTCTTGAAAGCAAACAAAAGCGTGCACATCAACAGGCGGCTCACTTTGGCTTCGGTTTTGTACTATGATTAAAGAGAAGGAAAGGCTGAGAAGAAGAAAGGCAGAAAAGCCCCCCCCCGCCCCCCGGGCATTTCGTTTTGGTCGTTGTTTTTGTTTTCTGAGCCAAATCCAGAGTCAAAGCATCTGTCCACTGATTTCTCTCCCTGTCGAACTGCGCAGAGAGCACAGCCACAAGTGCGATCCAAAGCTGAGAAAATGTGGCTCTCCAGCCGCTTGAGATGAGAGTGGCAGGACGCTGGACAACCGAACGAAGACTGTCGGGGAATTAGAGGTCTTCAACACGGAAGGAGCGAAATCAATAAGGATCAACACATTCCCTACTGATAGTCCATACGATTGATTCATTTTCCTGTATTGCATCAGTCACTCCATTCTCCTCGTTAAAATAAAACACTGAGGTCCGGGCGCGGTGGCTCACGTCTGTAATCCCAGCACTTTGGAAGGCCGAGGCGGGGCGATCACCTGAGGTCGGGAGTTCGAGACCAGCCTGACTAACATGGAGAAACTCCGTCTCTATTAAAAATACAAAATTAGCCGGGCGTGGTGACGCACGCCTGTAATCCCAGCTACTCAAAAGGCTGAGTCAGGAGAATCGTTTGAACCCGGGAGGCGGAGGTTGCAGTTTGCTGAGATCCCACCATTGCACTCCAACCTGGGCAGCAAGAGAGAACCTCCGTCTCAAAATAAAATAAAATATAACATAACATAAAACATTGCCTGGAAACCTCTGTTAACAGCAAACAGAGGCCCCATATGAAAAAGTAGAGAAAGCTTTTCTGCCACAATGGAAAATAGATGCAAAGTAAAGGTGAGTAAATTGCAGGTGTGTTGGCACTTCTAATTAAAAAAAAAAAATTCTTTTTTCTTTGTCAATCCTATCACATCTGCTTTGTATGACGAGGGAACTCCAGGAAATCCTATCTACTGATGACACCTTTTAGGGGTTTCCAATGCTGCATGTTTCAAAACTGCTGTCCTCTGTGTATATGTTTGCCGTTGAATCAAAAGTGTCTTTGAGAGGCAACAGAGTACGATGTTTGTCATCAGTCCACCAGTCTAACACTCTGTCAGGGTAGGCTGTCCTTACTTCTCGATTCTTTTGTTCAGTGAAAATATCCATAACCAGCCTACAGGAGAGATATTGTCTAGTGAAACCTGCTTAGCTGAAGACTGGTTGTGTGCCCCAGGGACAAACCATATGTTCGTTATAAGATACATTTTTTTTTTTTGTTTGAAGGAAGGTAATGCAGACATTTTCTTTTCGTTTCATACTTGTTTTCCCTTCTATCCACTGGTTCTCTCCAGGCACTTTAAGCAAATAGTGGCATGTTAGTCACAGTGGACACTGCACAGGAGAATAAGGGGTGAGGGATCAGGGTGCTACAAGAGGAATGCCAAATTCCAGGCCCAACCTCAGATCTATTGAGTCAGAATTGCTGAGGGTGGCGTCCAGCCGCCTGTGTTTGAATAAGCCCTCAAGTGACTCTGATGTTAAAGTTGTTTTGTTTTGTTTTTTGAGACGGAGTCTCGCCCTCTCGCCCAGGCTGGAATGCAGTGGTGCAACCTCGGCTCACTGCAATCTCTGCCTCCCGGGTTCAAGCGATTCTTCTGCCCCAACCTCCCAAGTAGCTGGGATTACAGGCGCGCGCCGCTATGCCCAGCTAATTTTTGTATTTTTAGTCGAGACGGGGTTTCACTATGTTGGTCAGGCTTGTCTCGAACTCTTGACCCCGTGATCCGCCCGCCTCGGCCTCCCAAAGTGCTGGGATTACTGGAGTGAGCCACCCGCCCAGCCGCTGATGCTAAAGTTTGAGAAGCACTGTTCTAGAGGTTTAAGAAGGTGGTCCAGGGCCAGGCGCCTGCTGAGGAGGAAGAGCTGTTCCCGGGGTTCCCTGCCTATTCTCAATCAAAAACTCAAACCACCTAGGAAAGCCAGTGAGGTTTGTATTTGCCTTACATCAGGGGTGGGGATGCATTTATTATCTCTTTGACACCGTCAACATTTTAGATGATTTTGGTAGTCACACACAAGAGACTGATTTTCCTGTAGAAGAACTCACCAGAGTTCTTGTCAGCCAGGAGACTCTTTTGAGCCAATTTTCTTTATTTCTTTCCTTTCTTATCATTCTACCCTCCCTTCTCTTTCTTTCTCTTTTTCCTTTCTTTCTTTTCTTTCTTTCTTTCTTTCTTTCTTTCTTTCTTTCTTTCTTTCTTTCTTTCTTTCTTTTTCTTTCTTTCTTTCTCTCTTTCTCCTTTTCTTTCCTTTTCTCTCATTTCTTTCTTTTCTTTTCTTTTCTTTTTTTTTTGAGACAGGGTCTCACTCTATCACCCAGGCTGGAGCGCAGTGGCGTGATCTTGGCTCACTGCAGCCTCTGCCTCCTGGGTTCAGGTGATTCTCCTGACTCAGCCTCCCAAGTAGCTGGGATTTCAGGTGCGCGTCACCATGCCCAGCTAATTTTTAGTAGAGGTGGGGTTTCACCATGTTGACCAGGCTGGTCTTGAATTCCTGACCTCAGGTGATCTGCCCTCCTTGGCCTCCCAAAGTGCTGGGATTACAGGCATGAGCCACTGCACCTGGCCACCAATTCTGTCATTTCTTTGTCACATAAAAAGTAAAAACATGACCCAATTCATTGCCTTTACTGCTCTCTTATTTCTATTTCTATTTGGTCAGCCTCTGTACCAGCCAAAGCAACTGACATAGCAGGAGAGGAAAGGAGGAAAAAAGAACCAGCTTTTACAAGATCTCTGGATCATGTTTCACTGTCAACTGTAAAATTATTTGTCTAGCCCTAGATTGGAAATATTATCTTCCATATATTTTCCTCAAAGTTTTATAGTTTTACATTTTATATTCATATCTGCGATCCATTTTAAGTTCACTTTTGTGAAGGCATGAGACTTATTTTTCTTCCATGGAATTACTACTTAGGCAACTTTGTCAAAAACCAGTTGAGAATATTTGTGTAGGTTTATTTTTCCATTCTCTCTATTAACCACGTGCCTATCTCCTTGCCAATACTATACAGTCTTAATTACTGTAGTAATAATACAATAATACAAGAATACAACAATGTAATGAAATAGTCTTGAAATCAGGTAGACTGTTTTTCCCTCCTAGATTTTAAATAATTATTCTAATTCCTTTGACTTTGTGGGAGAAACCTGGTGGGAGGTAGTTGGATCATGGGGGTGGCTTCCCCCATGCTGTTCTGGTGATAGTGAGTGAGTTCTCATGAGATCTGATGGTTTCATAAGTGTTTGGCAAGTTCCTCTTTTGCTCATACTTCTTTCTTCTGCTGTCATGTAAAGAAGGTCCTTGCTTCCCATTTCCCTTCCGCCATGATTGTAAGTTTCCCGAAGCCTCCTCAGCTATGTGACTCAATTAAACCTATTTCCTTTATCAATTACCCAGACACAGTGGCTCACGCCGGGAATCCCAGCACTTTGGGAGGCAGAGGCGGGCGGATCATGAGTTCAGGAGTTCCAGACCAGCCTGACCAATACGGTGAAACCCTGTCTCTACTAAAAATACAAAAATTAGCCGGGCATGGTGGCCTGCGCCTGTAGTCCCAGCCACTCGGGAGACTGAGGCAGAAGAATTGCTTGAACCCAGGAGGCGGAGGTTGAAATGAGCCGAGAGGAGGCCACTGCCCTCCAGCCTGGGCGACAGAGCAAGACTCCATCTTAAAAAAAAAAAAAAATTACCCAGTCTCAGGTAGTGTCTTCATAGCAGTGTGAAAACGGACTAATACACATTCTGTCTTTTACCGTGATGTACAGTGTTAGCTGTTCTCTATTCCTATTTTTCTGAGACTTTTTGTCATGAGTAGCTATTGAAGTTTGACAAATTCTTTTTCTACTGTGATATGATCACGTGATTTTATTTTTTAGCCTGTTAATATGGTGGATTGCAGTGATTGTTTCTAAATTTACCTAGTCTTACGTCTCTGGAATAAACCCCACTTGATCATGGTGTATAATGCTTCTTATATATTCCTGAATTCTATTTGATAATATTTTGGTAAGTATTTATGCACCAATACTCATTATTTTGTACTGTATTTACCTGGTTTTAGCATCAGGATACTATTAACTTCATAAATAAATGGAAAGTTTTTTGTCCTCTTCTGTTTTTTTCAGAATAGATTGTGTAGACCTTGTTTTAATTCTTTAACCATTTTTTTTTTTTTTTGAGACGGAGTCGCGCTCTGTCGCCCAGGTTGGAGTGTCACTGCAAGCTCCGCCTCCCGGGTTCACGCCATTCTCCAGCGAGTAGTTGGGACTACAGGCTCCCTGCCACCACGCCCAGCTAATTTTTTGTTTTTTCAGTAGAGACGGGGTTTCACCGTGTTAGCCAGGATGGTCTCGGTCTTCTGACCTCATGATTCGCCCACCTCGGCCTCCCAAAGTGCTGGGATTACAGGCATGAGCCACCGCCCCTGGCCTCCTTAAGAACTTCTTAGAATTCTTCAGTGAAATTTTCTTGGATTCGAAGATTCCTGATTTTTTTTTTTTAAACGAAGTCTTGCTCTTGGCCTCCAGGCTGGAGTGCAATGGTGCGATCTTGGCTCACTGCAACCTCTGCCTCCCAGGTTCAAACGATTCTCCTGCCTCAGCCTCCCAAGTAGCTGGGATTACAGGTGCCTGCCACCACATCCGGCTAATTTTTGTATCTTTAGTAGAGACGGGGTTTCAGCATGTTAGCCAGGCTGGTCTCGAACTTCTGACCTCAGGTGATCAGCCCGCCTTGGCCTCCCAAAGTGCTGGGATTACAGCCATGAGCCACCACGCCCGGCCAGATTCTTGATTTTTTTTTTAAATTATGTTACAAATTTAATTCCCTTAATAGTTACAGGGTTATAAAAAATGTATTACATATTGAGTTAGTTGTGTTAATTTGTGTTTTTCAAGGAATTAGTCTATCTCATCTAAATTGTCAAGTTTGTGTGTAAAGAGTTATTCATAGTAAGGCAGAAATTTAAAAATAAATATGCATTCATTCACTCCAAGAAAAGTAACAGGAAAGGGTTAAAAAGAAAAGAAACAAGTTTTCGTTTGCCTAGCAGCTCACTTCAAGGACAGTTACAAGATAACACTTTCCGAAAAGCCAAGGCCAAAGGAACGGCTTCCAGACACGCCCTTCTCCCACCCCACCCAAGAACAAGGTTGAAGGGAAAAAAAGGAAAGGCAAATTCCTATACTGTTACTCCTTTCCCTGGCTTCTTAAGCATAACTGTTTTTACAAATGTCTGTATTTAGTCAGTTCTTGTTTTTCTTTTGACGCAGCTGCAAGGCCACAAATTAAGCACTGTATGATTAACTGCCTTTGTTTTGCTTATAAAAACTCCTGCTCTGTCTTTGTTCAACGCTCAGCATTTTTTGTTTGTTTGTTTTGTTTTGAGACAGAGTCTTGCTCTGTCGGCCAGGCTGGAGTGCAGTGGCACGATATTGGCTCAATGTCACCTCCGCCTCCTGGGCTCAAGCAATTCTGCCTCAGCCTCCCGAGTAGCTGGGATTACAAGCATGTGCAACCACGCCTGGCTAATTTTTGTATTTTTAGTAGAGACGGGGTTTCACCACGTTGGCCAGGCTGGTCTCGAACTCCTGACCTCAGGTAATCTGCCAGCCTTGGCCTCTCAAAGTGCTGGGATTATGGGCGTGAGCCACCAGGCCCGGCCAGTGCTCAACTTTTTGGATGTGAATCCACTCAGTGGCTGCTTACCTTAAAATAAATATCCTCCTGTTCTCCTGTATCAGTCTTTCCGTTCCTCAGTTTACCACCACAATAGTATTCCCTTATCCTAATATTATTTTTATATATTAGGATATATCATACTACATATGTTATATAAAATATTATATTGATAATATGTTATGTTAATATTATATAATAAATAACATAATTATAAAATATATTTATTTATATGATTATTTAACAAGTTATATATTATTATTTACTTATATTATTAGGATATAATATATCCTTATATATTATTAGTATATACTATGTATATTATATATATATATATTCTGAATAATCTTGAGGATGCTTTTCCTCCTTCATTTTTTAACTCTAGCCTGCCTCTTCCCTTTCCCCACCTGCTGGTTCTCGGCTCCTCTCCACCTTCTTTCTCATTTATTTCTAAATGAAGTTTTCACAAAAGCGCAGGGCACTCCTAGTCTCGTTTATGCACATTTTAAGCACTATGTTGAGATTCCTATGCAGCTGCTATTTTAATTTCCACATCACTTTCCTTTTTTTTTTTCCTTCTCTACATGCTTGACTTTAAACATTTCTGCAGCATAGGCTGAGGCTGGGCCCAGCTGGGGAGAGATGCGAGGCCAGATAAACCTAGAGTAGAGAAATGTTGTTTCCTGAGTGGGAACGCTCCGACCTTACAAGGGGGAGAAAAAGTCTGCGACGGAGTTTCGCTCTTGTTGCCCAGGCTGGAGTGAAATGGTGCTATCTCGGCCCATTGCACCCTCCACCTCCCGGTTCAAGCGATTCTCCTACCTGTCTCCCGAGTAGCTGGGATTACAGGCACCCGCCACCATGCATGGCTAGTTATTTTTTAAATGCTGGGATTACAGGTGTGAGCCACCGAGCCCGGCTAAATTTTTTAAAGGAAATCATCCAAAAACATATCCTTTTGATGTCAGCAGAGTCTACAGTGATATCCTCTTTTTATTCCTGATATTGGTAATTTGTGTCATCTCTCTTCCTAAAATTTCTGTCTTACTAGAGGTCTTCTTTTATTGATCTAAAGGAACTAGCTTTTTGTTTGTTTTTCTTTTTTTGTTTGTGTTCCGTTTCACTGAATTTTGTTCTTATTTTTATTGTTATCTTTTGTCTATTTGCTTTGGGTTTATTTTGCTTTTTTCCCCACCTGGGTTCTTCAAATAAAAGTTTAGATGACTGACTTGAGACTTTTTTCTTTTTCTAATGTATGCAGTTAGTGGTATACATTTCTCTCTCAGTGTTTTTTTAGGTTGTCTTGAAAATTTTGGTATATTGTGCTTTCATTTTTATTCAGGTTAATTTATTTTTTGATATCTACTAAGTCTTTCTCTTTGTCCTGTGTACTATTTAGTAGTGTGTTGTTCATTTTCCAAGTGTTTGGATGTTCTTCTGTTGTCTTTCTGTGATTGACTTTTAGTTTGATTTCATTGTGGTCAGGGATCATACTGTGTGAGTTAATTCTTTTAAATTTGAGGTTTGTTTTATGGCCCAGAATATGTTCCATCTTGACCTGTGTTCTGTGTGTTCTGCTTTTCTTGTGTGGAGTCTTCTTTAAATGTTGACTGAATTCTGTTAGCTGAAGATGATTTTGAGTTCTTCAACATCCTTGCTGATTTTCTGTTTAGTTGTTCTATCGATTATTATGAGAGAAGTGTTGAAGTCTCTAATGTAATTGTGGATTTGTCTATTTTTTAAAAATTCTTTTTTTCTTTACATATTTTCAACTCTGTTTGGTTTATACATATTTAGGATTGTTATGCCTTCTTGGTGGATTTTTAAAATTTTTCTTTGTTCTAAAGCTTATATTAGGCCAGACGTGGTAGCTCACGCCTGTAATCCCAGCACCGTGGGATGCTGAGGTGGGTAGATCACCTGAGGTCAGGAGTTTGAGACCAGCCTGACCAACATAGTGAAACCCCATCTCTACTAAAAATACAAAAATTAGCCAGTCATGGTGGTACGTGCCTGTAATTCCAGCTGCTTGGGAGGCTGAGGCAAGAGAATCACTGGAACCCTGGAGGCAGAGGTTGCAGTGAGCAGAGATCGCGCCATTGCACTCCAGTCTGAGTGACAAGAGTGAAACTCCATCTCAAAGAAAAAAGATAAATAAATAAAGTTCATATTATATTAATATACTCACTTTTGCTTTCTTTTAATTAACATTTGAATGTTATATATTTTTATATGCTTAATTTCAACCTGTATGTATAATTATATTTGAAATAAGTTTCTTGTAGACAGCATGTAGTTGGATTATATTTTCTAATCTACTCTGTTAATCTCTGTCTTTTAATTGGTACCTTTCGACCATTTACATTTAATGTAATTATTGATATGTTAGGGCTGAAATCTAGCAGTTTGTTTTCTATTTGTACCCTGTTACTGCCATTTTCTGGGGATATGTATGTATGTATGTATTTATTTATTAAAGCCTTCTTTGTGGACTACTAGTATACTTTTTTAGAATTTCATTGTCATTTATCTGTAGCGTTTTTGTGTGTGTGTGGTTTTGTTTTTTTGATTTTTTTTTTCTCCTGCCTCAGCCTCCCAAGTAGCTGGGATTACAGGCATGCGCCACCATGCCCAGCTAATTTTTGTAGTTTTAGTAGAGACAGGGTTTCACCATGTTGGCCAGGCTGGTCTCGAATTCCTGACCACAGGTGATCCCCCTCAGCCTCCCAAAGTGCTGGCATTACAGGTGTGAGCCACTGTGCCCAGCCTATCTGTAGTGTTTTTAAATGATCTCTTTATATAACTCTTTTAGTGATTTGTCTGAGTATTACATATTTATTTAATTTATCACTGTGTACTGGTATCATTATTTTATCAGTTAAAGTGATGTGTGTCATCTTTACCTTTTTGTCACTTTGCCTCTCCTACTTGTAATATAATTGTCTTAAATTATTTCTTCTACATACATTTCGAACCACATCGAACCATGTTATACTTTTTTCTTTCTTTCTTTTTTTTTTTTTTTTTTTTTTGAGACATTGTCTCACTCTGTTGCCCAGGCCTGAGTGTAGTGGCGTGATCTTGGCTCGCTGCAACCTCCGTTTCCCTGGTTCAAGTGATTCTCCCTCCTCAGCCTCTCGAGTAGCTGGGACTACAGGTGTGTGCCACCATGCCCAGCTAATTTTTTGTATTTTTAGTAGAGACGGGGTTTCACCATGTTAGTCAGGCTGGTCTTGATCTCCTCATCTCATGATCTGCCCACCTTGGCCTCCCAAAGTGGTAGGATTACATGCCTGAGCCACCGTGCCCGGTCATGTTACACTTTTTGCTTCAACTGTTAAACATAATTTAGAAAGCTCAAGAGGAAAAGGAAAATGTATTGTTTTTACCTTTTTTTTTTTTGCTTACCATGTTCTTTCTTCTTTCCTGGTGTCAATTATTTCTTCTTTTATCATTTCTTTCCATCTGGAGAAATTTAACTATTTTTTAAAGGATAATTCTGCTAGAAGCTAATTATCTTAGTTTTCTTTGCTCTGAAAATGTCTTGATTTCTTCTTCAGTTCTAAAGGATATTTTCTGTGGATATAGAATTCAGAATTAACAATTCTTTTCTTTCGGTCCTTGAAAACTGTTGTGCCACTCTTTCTGACTTCTGTGATTTCTGATAAGATACCCACTGTTATGCAAATTGGTTTTCTCTGTAGGTAAGGTGTTTTGTCTCTTTTCTTGCTTTCAATATCTCTTTCTCTGTTTTTAGAGTTTAGAAATTTTGATTGATTTTGTTTTCAGTTAACCGTTGAAGGAGATTCTCTAAAAAATATGTAAAAATGCAAATCTCCAGGTCAACAGTCTCTAAAATAGTTTAGATTTCTGTATTCTGGTGTTTGGAAAACAACTTCACTAAGGCAATCCCTTAGGGCTGGTAATTTCATGATGTAAATCATTCCACATTTGTAAAGCATAAAGTAGCAAAGTTTTAGTCACTGTACAAACAAGTATCTGAACTTCTTCCTGTGCTTAATTGGTATAAACTATCTTGGGCGGCAGTTCCCCACCTTTTTGGCACCAGAGACCGTTTCATGAAAGACAGTTTTTTCCATGGATGAGGGAGCAGGGGTTGGGGGGGATGATTTTGGGATGATTCAAGCACATTAGATTTATTGTGCACTTTTTTAATATTGTTATTATATTGTAATATATAATGAAATAAGTATCCAACTCACCATAATGTAGAATCACTGGAAGCCTTGAGTTTGTTTTCCTGCAACTAGACAGTCCCATCTGGCACTGATGGAAAACAGTGACGGATTATCAAGCATTAGATTCTCATAAGGAGCCCACAATCTAGATCCCTTTCATACGCAGTTCACAATAGGGTTTGGACTTCTGTGAGAATCTGACGCCCCCGCTTATCTGGGAGGAAGAGTAGCTCAGGCGGTCGCAGGAGCGTTGGGGAGTTGCTGTATAAGGACAGATGAAACTTCTCTGGCTCGCCTGCCGCGCTGCCTGATACGCGGTTACGTTTACTGGAGGTTGGGGACTCCGGAGCTAGAGTAAAACACACAAATATTTCGCCTGAACAGGGACTTGAACCCTGCACCGTCAGATTAAAAGTCTGATGTTCTACCAACTGAGCTATCCAGGCCCTGGGTAGACGCAACCCACGGAGTATGTAATCTAGATTTCTCCATTTGTTCAGTTCATTTTGTTTCATGTTGCAATTTGTAAATCATATTACTTGAATTATCCTCTTTTCGAAGACCCTGCTTAAGAGAGACATTATAATCCCTAGGAATATTTTCCTTTTCTCTTTTTAAACATTTCCTTTCTGTAGATTTTCGTAACCTGAGATGGAGCGTCTTCTACACAAAGCACTGCGGAGTTGCTAGATACAGAGGGTTTCATTCTCGCCAATTACCTGCAACCTAAACTTCTCGAGGCAACTGTGGAGCTACTTTTGTTCGTATCCCTCAGTATTGTCTTGCATCTCTTTCTTGAAGCCTTTGTAGGCAGAGGGTAAGAGAGACGAAGGAGGAAGAATTTGAAGATGCAAGAGAACATTCCATAATGGACCCCTTTCTGTTGGTGGATGAAACTGCCAGCCAGGCATCACTTTGGCAAGTGGACCTCAGACCGGCGGTCTGGCTGGCCAGAGAGGAAAACCGCGTGTAACAGTGTCTTTTGGTTTAGTATTTAGTGCCGCTTTTGCTGGTCACAGTCTAAAGGTTTTAGAAATAGTGATGTTAAACACAGCAAGCATTTTTCTGCCAGATATTCGTTCTCCAAACACAGACAGACAAAGGCAGTAATTAATAATGGATCTTTTCTTTGTTTTTTTCTTGTTTTATTTTTGAAGATATTTTTTCTTCGTCTATGGATCTTTTTTTTAATTTTTAATTTTTACTGCTGCATAGTATATATATGTATATATATGATACATGGGATATTTTGATGCAGGCATACAATGTGTAATAATCATATTGGGATAAACGAAGCATCCATCACCTCATCCATCGCCTCAACACCTTATCATTTCTTTGTTACAGACATTCCAGTTATAATCTTTAAGTTATTTTTAAATGTACAATACATTTTTGTTGACTATAATCACCCTGTTGTGCTATCAAATGATAGATCTTATTCATGCTAACTATATTTTTGTATCCATTAACCATCTCACTGCCCCCTCCAATACCCTTCCCAGCATCTGGTAACCATCATTCTACTCTCTGTCTCCATGAGTTCAATTGTTTTATTTTTGGCTTCCACAAATGAGAGAGAATATGTGAAGTTTTACTTTCTGTGTATAGCTTAACTTAATGTCCTCTAGTTTGTGGAGGAAAAGTTACGTATTAAATTTGAACTCAATTGAACGTGGACACAAACAATGGTCACCAAATCCTGAACAGGTTGTATGAACCCCTTGAGGTGTTCATCCAGTGCTGTTTTGGAGAAATCTCTATTTCAATCTATTCCTATACGTTAGTTATTGAAAAACAACAGACAATCGCAAAAACAAGTTGACCTTTTCTTGTTCCTTGAGCTCAGTCGCGAAGGGCTCTCGTGAGCTTCATGAGACCTCTCCTTCTCTGTGCATGGACGAGTGGCCGACTCTGGAGCCGGGGCTGTTGCTTCCCGGTGTGGTGATGAATCCTTCATAGTCTTGTGAGTGTACATATATATAAATATATATATTTATATATATATATATATATTTGGTGAGTGTGTGTATATATATATATATATATATCTTTTCCCTTCTCCCCTTCCCATTGCAATTTGCTTATTGTATCATTTGTTTATTATATCTGCATTGCCGTTTACGTGGGATAAAGGTTATTTACCCTTAAAGGTATTGTGTGTGTGTCTTTTCTTCTCCCCTCTCGCATTTCCCGCACAGAACATAGTTCCATCCGCTTTGCAAATGACAAGACCTCATTCTTTTCATGGCCGAATAGTACCCCGTTGTGTATACGTACCACATTTACTTTATTCATTTATCTGTTGATGGGTACTTAGGATGCTTCCCAATCTTGGCTATTGTGAATAGTGCTGCAATAAAGATGACAGTGTAGATATCTTTTCGATATACTAATTTCCTTTCTTTTGGGTATAGGCCTAATAGGGGGATTGCTGGAATATATGGTAATATTTTTAGTTTTCTGAGGAACCTCCATACTATTCTCCAAAGCGGTTGTACTAATTTAAATTCCCACCAAGAGTGTACTAGGGTTCTCCTTTCTCCACGTCCTTGCCTGTCTTTTGGATGAAAGTCATTTTAACTTGGGTGAGATAACATTTCATTTTAGTTTTGATTTGCATTTATTTGATGATCAATGGTGTTGAGCACCTTTTCATATATTTGCCATTTGTATGTCTTCTTTTAAAAGACATATAGACAAAAGAATGGTAAATAGATATGTGAGTAGAAAATCTTTACTTGGCTGAGTTTTCTTTATCCTTTCCTTTCACAGTAGCCCCCATCCCCAACACACACACACATACACACACACACACACACACACACACACACACACACACACACACACACGTCAGGTCAATAACCAGACCATAAGTGCTGCAAATCTTAGTTCTTTCTGTGTGTGTGAGTGAACGTTTGTTGTACACTGGATCACACCTCACAGGAAATGCTGAGTTTTCCAAATTCTAAAGTTAAGAACATTATTAGGGTCATGCATTATGGGTTTTTGTAAAATGGCTAAAGTAGCTACATTGGGAGATTCTTTGTCTAAAGGTGCAATACATCCCCCAATTTGATTCAGGGCTTGGAAAGTTGTCTGGTTTCATCTAAACAAATAAATAAATTCTATTTTTTTCAAATCTCAATTATAGAAACCTTTATCTACAGACACCCTCCTCCATTCATTTCTTCAGTGAAATTATCTAGACAGATTGTTATAGAGAGATTAAGAATGTCATACTTTCAAATCTCTCTTGGATTCCTCCCAAAATACTTTTGTTAGAAATATTTAAACATTTTAAAGGAATCTTGCCTGGAACCCATCAGATAAAAATCAAAAGGCATCAGAGAAAACACTGAAAGGCTTTGGAAAGGAAATGGTATCACTGGTATAAACAAACATTTCATACAATTTAATAGTTTCTTAGCATTATTCTTTCAAATCTCAGTGCCAATCCTTTTTAGCATCTTCCTGAAGAAAGAAATTTCAGGCTACTTTGGACACACTTTCTATAGGGTACCCCTGCTCTGCAAACAGCAGGAATAAATAAATAAATAAATAAATATAACAATAAATAAATAGATTTCGATGGTTTGGCTCAGTCTACCAACCTTACTAACTGTGCCAACTTTACTATCTGCTGCCTACGTCTGCCAGTTAACTTTTCCTCCTCCAGACTGAACAAAAAATGCCCTTTTATTTAAATTTGTTAGATTTTGAGATTTTGGATTGCTATTCTTTGGGCACAAAATCCACTAGTGAGAAGGTGAGGAAGCAAAACTGAGAACAATTTCAAAACATGTGAATAAGTTTGAGTCTGTTGAAACATAAGTCATGGTAGTGCATCTTGCCCAAAATGGAGATGGATTCTTCAGCACTGACTAGAGCAAGTAGCCTCCCCAAACTGGATCACACCAGAAACCCTTATTCAATCTAATGCTCCTCATAGGACGCTTTCTGAGAAAGAAAGGGACTTAACTAAATCAGTTTCATAGGGAACAGCAGAAGACCTTTCTTTTGTCTACCCAGACTCATCTAGTCCGGCCCCAGAACTAGCGTTCCGTGGTCTCAAACATGGGTCATTACTTAATAAATTAGTGTACATAGGATACACCATCCAAAATATGGCCTAAAACAATTCTTGAGTTTTGACTGGAGAAACCTGGAGAAAATGGTGTACAAGGGATCCAGGAAAAGTTTAGGGCTGAGAGATGCATCTCTCTGGGGAAAGGAGATAGGACTGGGCACTGGAAAAATGAAATAGTTTCTTCCCAGTAACTCGTCATTTCCATGAAGCCAAGACGATGCGAAAACTGAGGGAATCTGTGATTGGTTTACTTTACAAACTTGGTTGTTGTTTTTTTTTTTAATCTTTCCTACCCTATCAACATAGGGGACATAGCTGGGGAAAGGGTAACAAAAAATCGCCCCAGACTGTTTTCTGGATCAATCCAAAGGTGAGCTTAGAGCAATCAACCTTTAGGCAAAATACTTGGGGCTTTTCTGACAAGGGGGAGCTTTTTTTTTTTTTTTAATTTCAACTTTTATTTTAGATTCAGGGAGTACAGTGCAGGTTTGGGACAAGGGTGTATTGCGTGTTGCTGATGTCTGGAGTACGATTGAACCCGTCACCCATGTGGTGAGCATAATACCCAACAGGCAGTTTTTCTATCCTTTTCCCCCTTCCAACCTCCCACCTCTTACGGTCTCCAGTGTCTTCTGTTCCAGGGGAGCTCTTGTTTGAGCTTACAGGCTTTTCTTCCTGGAGGAAGCACCATCGTATCTTTGAGACGGAAAAGGTTAAAATAGATCAAACAATGATGCTCCCTCTTACGCTGTCATGTCCACTCCTTCATTGCAGACTTGAGTTCTTGGCTCATATTTCTGTACCCGAACGTGCATTATCATTATTAGTAACTTAGAGAAGAGAGCCTTCAAAGAAGGCAAAGATGTCACTTCTGATCATCTCGCAGTTTATAATTCTAAGGAATTGCTATTAGGAATTTTAGATGGAGTTTTATTCCTTCTGCCCACCTCCTCCCCCGCCTCTCCCCGCCCCCCTTCAAGTTGTTAAATCTCTAATTACGAAGTTAAAGGTTTGAAAACAGAAACTCAACGTTTCCTCACTACACTTCAGTCTTGATGTGTGCAAATTAGCACCCGCGTGCGGCCGCGTGGCCTAATGGATAAGGCGTCTGATTCCGGATCAGAAGATTGAGGGTTCGAGTCCCTTCGTGGTCGTGTTCTTACTATTGTCAGGAAATATCTTTACTTTCTGCACATCTCCTTGAGCTTTCTGCAAGCCAGTTAAAAAAAAAAAAACCGGCTTGTTCCCAAGACTTTGGGAACTTGAAATGAAAGAAGACTATTGACAAAAAAAACAAGAACCCGGTAAGCAACCTGTGTATTGACTATTAAAGTGCACTTTGTCCCTGGCATAGGTACTACCGGAGGCATTCGTAATTTGGAATGGGCTTGGTTTTTCAATTTATGGTCTTGTCCTACTTGTTTCATGAATTTAACAAACACAACACAAAATCACCCTTTTCTTTTTTTTTTTTTTTTTTTTTTTTTTTTTTTTTTTTGAGACGGAGTCTCGCTCTGTCACCCAGGCAGGAGTGCAGTGGCACGATCTCGGCTCACTGAAAACTCCGCCTCTCCGGGTAAAGCGATTCTCCTGCCTCAGCCTCCCGAGTAGCTGGGATTACAGGCGCCCGCCATCACGCCCGGCTAATTTTTGTGTTTTTTTAGTAGAGACGAGGTTTCATCATGTTGGCCAGGTTGGTCTCAAACTCCTGACCTCAGGTGATCCGCCCGCCTCGGCCTCCCAAAGTGCTGGGATTACAGGCGTGAACCACCGTGCCCGGCATTTTATTTATTTATTTATTTATTTTTGAGTCTCACTTTGTCGCCCTGGCTGGAGTGCAGTGGCACAATCTCTGCTCATTGCAATCTCCACCTCCAGGGTTCAAGCTATTCTCCTGCCTCAGCCTCCCGAGTAGCTAGGATTACAGGTGCCCGCCACCATGCCTGGCTGATTTTTGTATTGTTGGTAGAGAAGGGGTTTCACCATATTGGCCAGGCTGGTCTCGAACTCCTGACCTCAGGTGATCTGCCCGCCTTGACGTCCCAAAGTGCTGGGATTACAGGCGTGAGTCATCGCGCGCGGCAGAAAAGTACCATCTTAATAGTAAGGACTATCATAATAGTAGGGGTATTGGGTGCAGGGTATATGGGAACTCTAATATCTTCTAAATTTTTCTGTAAAGCTAAGACTGTTCGACAATTATACTCTATAAAATAAAAATGATTTGTTTTTTTAAAGATAGACAGCCATGTGTTTAAAAAAACTTAGAGCAAAGATCTTGCCCTAGAAAGCAAATGCAACTCTAACGGGGTTCTTGTACTGGTTAACATCCGCATTAAAGATGATGGTGACTTACAGGGCCTATGCCATTCTCTCTGATTTCTACGATTTCCTTATTACTCTCAACACAAGCTTAAATAAAACAGTAAACAGAAAAGTAAAATCTTTCCAGACCTTGGTTAACAAAAGCAGAAACAAGGAGGAGAACGAGGAGGAGAAGGTGAAGGAGAAAGAAAAGAACAAAAAGAGGAAGAAGAGGAAGAAGTCACAATCAAGGAGAGTATATCACCAAGAAAAGAAAGTTTCTATCAAAAACTTTCTTTGGGCTCTCAAAACTCGAGAGTCAAACATTGTTAATAAATTTCCACAAAAATCTGAAGGTCACAAATCCAAATCCTAATAGGAAAAGCTTTCATCAAAATGTACTGATAAAGGCTCAATTACAACAACCTGGAACTCATGTGGTTGGGACACTCGCTCGAGCTCATAGTTTTGAAGGATGGCCAGAATTTAGAAACAAAGTGGTCAAAGAATGCACTATTATCACACTAAGAGTTTGGCAACCCTATCAGCAAAATGAGCCAGGGCCCTCTAAGAAACTCACAGGACCCACATATTGCTGAGGAAAAGAGGTATTTACTCACAACTGAAAAAACAAAACTGAATGTATGTCTTGCTTGAGCAGGGGTGAACTACAAGCAGATTGCAGTCTCTTAGTAAACAAACAAAACAAGAAACAAAACAAAAGGCAGGATATGCAGAGGAGTTTAATTAATTGTCAAGTGAAATTAAATTCACATAAATCAGCCTTTTGGGTGGTTCAAAGTAGAGACGGCTGTGAATTGTTCCTAGATTGACATACAAACAAATACTTATTTATTTATTTATTTATTTAATTTTTTGAGACGGAGTGTCGCTCTATCGCTCAGGCTGGAGTGCGGTGGTGTGAACTGCGATCTCGGCTCACTGCAAACTCCGCCTCCCGGATTCAAGCGATTCTCCTGCCTCAGCCTCCTGAGTAGCTGGGACTACAGGCGCATGCCACCAAGCCCGGCTAATTTTTTTGTAATTTTAGTAGAGACGGGGTTTCACCATGTTAGCTAGGATGTTCTTGATCTCCTGCGTGATCCGCCCGCCTCGGCTTCCCAAAGTGCTGGGATTACAGGCGTGAGCCACCGCGCCTGGCCTTACAAATCTCTTTTACTTAGGAACTACTGAGTTAAGATAAATGTGGGTGCTAAATTCCAATTTGGCCCGGGCATGGTGGCTCATGCCTGTAATCCCAGCATTTTGGGAGGCCGAGATGGGCGGATCATCTCAGGTCAGGAGGTCAAGACCAGCCTGGCCAACATGGCGAAATCCATCTCTACTAAAAACACAAGAATTAGCTGGGTTTGGTGGCGTGCGCCTGTAATCCCAGCTGCTAGGGAGGCTGAGACACGAGAATCACTTGAACCCGGGAGGTGGAGGTTGCAGTGAACTGAGATCACGCCACTGGCACCCCAGCCTGGGTGGCAGAGTGAGACACCATCTCAAAAAATAATAATAATAAAAATGAAATAAATAAATTCTGATTTGTTGTGTGAATTCATGGTTAATTATGCAAAAGTGGAATATTCTATTCTTAATTGACTCAAATTAAAATTTCATTTAAATGTCAAGTTTTAAGATACCAAGATTGAGTGCTGATAGTATTGTTATTACTTGAGCACAAACTCCTGGACTCAGTTCTCTTGTCTTGGTCTCCGAAAATGCTAGGATTACAGGCGTGAGCCACTCTGGCTGTCCCCTCAGTAATTTTTTTTAAGTAAAGTTTATTTTATTTATTTTTTGAGTTGAGGTCTCGCCCTGTCACCCAGGCTGGAGTGCAGTGGCACTGCAAGCATGGCTCACTGCTACCTCAAACTCCTAGGCCCAGGCAATCCTCCTGCCTTGGCCTCTGGTGTAGCTGGGACCACAGGTGTGCACCACCATACCTGGCTAATTTTTCTATTTTTTTGTAGAGACAGGCTCTCACTATGTTAGCCAGGCTGGTCTCCAACTCCTGAACTCAATTGATCCTCCTGCTTTGGTCTCCCAAAGTGCTGGGATTTGAGGTGTAAGCCACTGCTCCTGACCAATAATTTTTTATATTAATAAATTTATGGCCGGGTGCTGTGGCTCACGCCTGTAATCCCAGCACTTTGGGAGACCGAGGCGGGCGGATCACCTGGGGTCAGGAGTTCGAGACCAGCCCGAATAATATGGTGAAACCCTGTCTCTACTAAAAATACAAAAATTAAACGGGTGTGGTGGCGGGCGCCTGTACTCCCAGCTACTCGGGAGGCTGAGGCAGGACAATCGCTTGATCCCGGTAGGCGGAAGTTGCAGAGAGCCGCGATCGCGCCACTGCAGTCCAGCCTGGGCGACAGAGCGAGAGTCCGTCTCAAAAAATAAATAAATATAATAATAATAATAAAATTTATGTCTACCAAAATAATTTATCTACATTATGAGCAAAATATGTCCATGTTTTGACTTGACACTTTTTGCACTCTCAACACTGCAATCCTCCTCATATCTTAAGTCAGCGTTTTGTTCATCCACTTGACAGTAGGGCAGAAAAGAGCCTTGAATGAATACCTCTCTGCAAATCCGACTTTCCCCGTTCAAATCTTGTCTCTTCCGCTGAGACTAGAGAGAATATAAGCAGCAAAACGCACCGCAAATACCCTCCCGGTTGCTCCAGGAGAAAGCTGGGTTCAGTAGCCTGTTGAGTATGAATCAAAAAGAAGTATGGGAAAATGAAAAGTATCTACATCAGAACAGGATCGTGATTCCTAAATTTCCGGACTAGTGGCCTGATGCATTTCCAGCTGAGCTAGCCAGAAGTACGATGGTTTTAGTGGGTATCTACTCTAACCCAAAACGTTCAGTCACTACTTAACCTTTCTTCCTCATTCTTTCTCTTGTATTTTAAACCCAAACACGCGAAAATAAACAAACAAACAAAAAGAAACACAAACTAAACAGTTGCTGCCTGCATCAAAGCTGCAGGCTGCTTCCACATGAGAACTGACACAACGTCACTTTCCTCAAACCTCCAATACCAGGGGCTACTGCTCCACGAATACTCAACCACACGCCCTCGAAAATGCTCAGCCTGTTTCCTGCGATGGAGAGTGCAGTGCAGTGAGGCACTCTCAGAGTCACAAAATCTTGGGCAACACGAGCCGTACCCTTCTGTGGGATATACACTTTGAAACCACTCACCTAGAGCCTTCTCTCTTCCCCAGGGCCTAGAGAAAGCTTGGCAGAGACGCGGCGCTTGGCTGCTTTCTTCCTCCACGCTTGTCTCAATACTATCCGTCTTTAAAGACGCGTCCCCGATTTTTCTTCTGCCTTCTTCTCCGCTGCTTCTTCTCTCCTCCACTCAGTGTTATCCCTCCCGGCTCCAAGAGCCCTTCCTTCCTTTTCAAAGCCTTCCCTTGCGTCCACTCCTCAGCTCATTTCAGTTCCCAGCCACTTGCCTTTCTAGTATAGTAAGAACATAACCTGTACATTAGGGACAAACTTCTCCCTACTCTCCCTTACGCCCCTGCTGGGTTTACAATGTTCTCCAAAATTCGTATCTGGATTAAACAGTCGCACCACATTTTGGCTACAGATGGGAAGGGTCTACTTTCTGCACTTCAGGGACTGATGAAATTTTCTCACTTGTGGGGGTGTAGGGAGGGTTTTACAAAGGGTGAATTGGTTTTCTCAGGTTGAGACCAGCTTCCTTTGTGCTTTCCTCCTTGCTCAAAAAAATTTGCTCTGAAAGAGTCCTCTGTCTTCGGCTTCGTTTGTGTTGTCTTTAAAACCAGAGCTAGTCAGGCTTGGCGGCAAACACCAGTAATCCGAGCACTTTTGGAGGCGGAGGCGGGAGTATTGCTTAAGCCCAGGAATTCAAGACCAGCCTGGGCAACACAGGGAGAAGACCGACCCGCCCCCTTCCCCCATCCCGTCTCTATAAAAAATCAAAAACAAAAAAACCTATAGCTGTAGAGTCGCCGATGAAGCCGCTGCCACATTTCCAAATCCAGATGTTGGACGCAACCTTGTGCAAAACTGCTACCTTTGTCACTCTTTGTTTTTGTCAATGTTGTGAATTAACCTCTTGTCTTTGCTTGTTTGGTTGTTTTTCAGGAGTTATTAACAACTTTATTGAAGTACAGTTGATATATGCAAAACCCCTACACGTTGAAGGTAAGCATATGAGTGAGGACATATGCATACATTTATAATGCTATTTCCACAATCGGTAATAAACACACTTATCAACTCCAAAAGTTTCTTTGTGTTCTTTCATGTTCATGGGTGGTAAGAAGACTTAAACATCAGAGTTATCTTTTTTTTTTTTTTTTTTATTTTGAGACTGAGTCTCGCCTGTCGCCCAGGCTAGAGTGCAGTGGTGCGATCTCGGCTCACTGCAACCTCCGACTTCCGGGTTCACGCCATTCTCCTGCCTCAGCCTCTCGAGTAGCTGGGACTACAGGCGCCCGCCACCGCGCCCGGCTAATTTTTTAAAACATTTTTAGTAGAGACGGGGTTTCACCGCGTTAGCCAGGATGGTCTCGATCTCCTGACCTCGTGATCCGCCCGCCTCGGCCTCCCAAAGTGCTGAGATTACAGGCGTGAGCCACCGCTCCCGGCCGAGTTATCTTTTTAACAAAATTTTAAGTGTACATTATGGTATTGTTAACTGAAGGCACTAGGTTGTGCAATAGATCTCTAGAACTTATTCATGTTTCATAACTAAAATTTTAACTCACCGAGCAACAACTCCCCATTTCCCTCTGCCTCTGGTCCCTGACAATCACCATTCTGTTCTCTGCATTTATGAGTTTGACTATTTTAGATACCTCATATAAGTGGAATTATGAAATATTTGTCCTTCTGTGACTGGCTTATTTCACTTAGCATAATGTCCTCCAGGTTAATCATTGATGCTGGTGCAAATGGCAGAATTTCTTTTTTATAAAAGGCTGAATAATATTCCATTGTATGTATATACCACATTTTCTTTGTCCACTCATCTCTCAATGGACACTTGGATTGTTCCCTTATCTTGGTTATTGTAAATAATGCTGCAGTGAACATGGGAGTGCATATGTTTCTTTGAAATTCTAATTTCGATTTTTTGGGGACATATACCCAGAAGTGGGATTGCTGGATCATATGGTAGTTCTATTTTTATCTTTTGAGGCGACCCCTTACTATTTTCCATAGTGGTGTCATCATTTTACACACCAACAGTGTAGAAGGGTTCCAATTTCTCTACATCTTTGCTAACACTTACCTTTTGAGTTTTTTCTTTTTAATAACAGACATCCTAATAGGTGTGAGGTGGTATCTATTGTGATTTTGATTTGCATTTCCTTGATGATTAGTGATGTTAAGAGCACCTCTTCACATACCTAGTGGCTATTTGTATGTCTTCTTTGGAGACATGTCTATTCAAGTCCTATGCTCGTTTTAAAAATCAGGTTATTTGGGATTCTAAGGGGTGTGTGTGTGTGTGTGTGTGTGTGTGGCTATTGACTTGTAGCGGTTTAAAAAATTTATTTTGTATATTAACCCCTTATCAGATAAATGATTTGCAAATATTTTCTCCCATTCCATAGCTTGCCTTTTTCCTTTGTTGATTGTTTTCTTTCCTGTGAAGAAGCTTTTTAGTTTGCTATAGTCTCGCTTATCCATTTTTGCTTTTGTTGCCTGTGCTTTTGGTGTCATACTCAAGAAACCATTGCCTAAACCAATGTCAAGAATATTCCCCCCTGTTTTCTTCAAGGAATTTTACAGTTTAGGGGCTTAAGTTTAAGATTTAAATTCGTTTTTAGTTGACTTTTGTGCATTAACATCTTGTCTTGTCTCCTCACCTGGATCTACGTTTCCTCTGCAGCACTCACAGAACTCGTCTTTATATTCTCTGGCACTATCGCGCGCGCGTGTGTGTGTGTGTGTGTGTGTGTTGGCAGCTCCATAGAGGAGGTTTTTTTAAAAAGGAGAGAATCTGAAGACATACCAGAAGATTCAATCTTGGAACTTCGCTCCAGGTGGACGGAAACTGACAAAGAAAGTTGGCTAACAGCAGTCCTTGAAATAGATGACGGCTGTGAGAGGATCCAAGGGTCTTTCGGTCCAGAATGCCTTTCTCCTCTTGACACAGCGTCAAGACAAGATTCCATTCAGAAGTTTCAGAAACAGGAGTTAAAACATAGCGGACTTTAACCTATCATGCCTTAAGCCCTCACCTTTAGATAATAGCATATAATAAATCAGTAAGAAAACGGCATTGTAAGTGGGGGTGTAGCTCAGTGGTAGAGCGTATGCTTAACATTCATGAGGCTCTGGGTTCGATCCCCAGCACTTCCACAAGTACATTTCCTTATATCTATCGTTGAACATTTCGTTTCAGTCTTTGAATACTTAGTTCCAGTCTTTTCTTTTTTCTTTGTGCATACACTAGCTTGTGTTTTTCCTACTCACAGCGAAGGTAAGCCATTTGGTACTCATTCATTTGTACTATGGGTCCTAACACTCCTTCAGCCTCCCAACCTGACTGCTTCAGCACAGCTTTATAGTTATTTACTGAAATAGAGAAGCTGCTTATTCAAGATCCCCTGAGAGTGAAGCAACAGGCATGCCGGTCATAGAAGACTCGTTCTCCTAGACCATCCTGGCTAACATGGTGAAACCCCATCTCTACTAAAAATACAAAAAAAAAAAAAAATTAGCCGGGCGTGGTGGCGGGCACCTGTAGTCCCAGCTACTCCAGAGGCTGAGACAGGAGAATTGCATAAACCCGGGAGGCTGAGCTTGCAGTGAGCCGAGATCGCGCCACTGCACTCCAGCCTGGGCGACTGAGCAAGACTCCATCACAAAAAAAAAAAAAAAAAAAAAAAAGACTCGTTCTCCTTTGCTGCCGTTTCTCATTACTATTAAGAAATCGGGGGGGAATAAAAAACAGAAAGAGAAGAAAAAAAAATCGCCCTTGGAAAACATCCATTAGATTTCTCTCCTCCCCCCCCCACCCCCACTCCACCCATATCTGACAGACTACAGACCTTTCCTCATTCTCCCCTACATTTCCACCACTCATAGAATCTTGGTTGGGCGGCAAAAGTGGGTCCAATCATTAGTCATGGGAGCGCTGTGATCTCAGCTTTCTCTAAAGAAGGAATGTTTAGAATTTTTTCCGAACGAAAGACGCTTCTGGCGAAACTCCGAGACTTTCAAAATACACAGTTGAGAAAATTATTTTCAGAGATGGAAAAAGCCGCTGGTCGCTCTCAAAGCGGTGTCAGTTTTGGACAAAAAGGGTTATGTTTTCCTGTGGAACAGAAGCTTGTAGTTCACCTCCCTTGGGAGGGAAAGACCTGGTTTCCTACAGCCA